>NC_000009.12:31676666-31828181 GCF_000001405.40 Homo sapiens
ATTTTCAAGACACTGGACATTACACAATGAAGGACAGTGATCCATAATAGATGAGAAACAAACAAGCTGAGCCCTTTGGCAGCCCCAACTGAACTACTTTTGGAGCTTCTAAACTATGGCGCTGGGATAAGAAACCAGAGTACAGCCCTGCTGATTGCTTGAATAGGGCAAATGGAGCTGACAAACATGAGAGATCAAGGCTAGAATTCTCAGGACAGAGTATCAGAGAGAGAAAAAAGCTGCTCAATGAGAGAACTGCAGAAAGCTTCAGGTGTCTCCCTTAGGCACTTTCCTCACATGTAATTTAAAATATCCTCATTCTTCAGTAACTTGACTTTCTTTTTCCAGCTGTTTCTGATAATTTTTTCCCCTTCTCACCAATATTGAACAATTTGTTTTTTATTTGAGTTGGTGCCTTTTTTTTTTTAACTTTTTTATGTTCGAGTTTCATTGATCTTCTTGGTTTTGTGGATTTATGATTTTCATCAAACTTGGAAAATTTTTGACCATTATTTCTCCAAACATTTATTCTATCTCCCCTGCTCCTCTGCTCCTGTGACTTGTATTTTAGGGTTTTTGAAGTTGCTCCACAGCTCACCGATGCTGTTCATTTGTTTATTTGTCTGGATTTTCTTTTTCTTTTTCTTTTTCTTTTTTTTTTTTGAGTTTCATTTTAGATGATTTACACTGCTATGTTTATAAATTTTACTTTTTTTTCCTTTTTCAATGTCTAATCTGTCATTAATCCCATCTTTTGACTTTTTCTTCTCAAACATTGTATTCTTCATCTCTAGAAGTTCGATTTACGTCTTTTATATATCTTTCATGGTTCTTAATTTCTGAACACATGAAGTAGTGTTATCTTAATGTCCTTATCTGTTAACACTGACATTTGTCAGTTCTAAGTAAGTTTCAATTGATTGAATTTAGTAGCCTATGAGTCATATCTTCCTGCTTCTTTTTCTGTATGGCAGTTTTTTATTAAATGCCTGACACTGTGAGTTTTATACCTTGTTATTCAAAATCACTTTGAATTAAGTAAAACTAAAAAAAAATAGGACATCAAAATGTGTGGGATGCAGCTAAGCAATATTTAGGGGGAAATTTACAGCACTAACACCCTTAGGAAAAAAAGAAGTTCTCACATTAATTGTCTCAGTTTCTACCTTAAGAAACCAGGAAAACATGATTAATTAAACCCAAAGGAGAAGCAAAGAAATAATGAAAGTCAAGACAGAATGAATAAAATACAAATTACAAAATATCAATTGAACAAGAAAGCAATGCAGTATTGATAAATGCAACAACATGAATCAATCTTAAAACAATTACGCTGAGTAAAAACAACTGGGCCAACAAAAGAGTACATACTATACTACGTAAGATTACAGAAAATGAAAAAAAGTCTGTAGTGACAGCACATCAGTGGTTGCCTGCATGTGGGGAAACTGTTAAGATTAGAGTTAGGGAGAACAGAGTGCCAAGAAGTACAGAGTTCAGAGGAAATCTAGAGGGTTGATGGATATGCTCATTATTTTATCATCATTAGAGGTTCAGTTATATACATATGTCACAACCCATCAAATTGTACATTTTAAATATATGCAGTCTATAATGTGTCAGTTATTTCTTAATAAAGCTGATCCTAAAAACTCTGCACTGGAAAGCAAATGACAAGTGACGTGTGTACAAGGTTATTCTGCATAAAGTATAAAAACAATAAATTCAATGCAAACTTTATGTCTAGGAACAGAGGACTTGTTAAATTACGTTCATCCAGTTCTGCAGAAAGAAAACACAATGTCTTTATGCATGGCTATGAAACAGTCTCCATGACATACTGCTGAGAATACACGTATACACACACATCCCCCTCAAAAATAAAAACAAATTCGTAACAGCGTGTATTGTATGCTTCTATTTTTGTAAAAAAAAAAAAAGGCAAGGAACATTTGCTATATCTGGAAAGTGTATATATAAACATACAAAAAGTTTTATTAGCAACAGCAAGGTGACATGAATGGCTAAAAGACAGGGAAGAGAAATCAATTTTTTATTCTATATATTACCTTTACCTTTCAATCTTTGAAACATGTAAATGTCTTACATATTGTTAAGAGCCTAAGCAAAATGTATCATAGTGATTACTGAGCTATGGAGTCAGATAGCTTGTGCTGTGTGACTTTGGACAACTTAGTTAAACTCTCTATCTCTTAATTTCCTTTAAAGTGAAACAGATATACTGATGGTGTCTTGTCATAGGCTGTTCGTAAGTAGTAAATAACTCTTATAATAGAACCTCCCACATGGTAAACATACACTACACCACTGATATTACCAATGTTATAGGTTCAGTTAAACCTGGCTGGTTGCTAAAGAGGACTGCCTGTTTAAAATTCACAAGTTATAGAATATTAAACAAACATCTGCATATTGATTCATCTTATTTGCATCTCTTTTCTCACACTAAACTGACTTGCAAACTCTAGAAAGCAAGCCCAATGTTTATAGGAGCACATCCATTGTTTCAAATACATGGTACTTCAGAAGTAGCTGAGGGCTGTTAAAAAAATTTGTCATCGTTCCCATTCTAAAGAACCATACAAAATGTTGCCATTATGGATTATGCAATCTATTGTTAATATAGTCTAAGTAGGTAAATACAAATATAAATTTTTTTTATGTTTATGTGTGTATATGTGTGTATATGTATATACAATTTGGTAATATGTTGCTACATGGTTTGAATGTCCCCTTAAAAACTCATGTTGAAATTTAATTGCCATTATGATGGCAATTAAAAGAGGTGGTTAGATTATGAGGGCTATGATTAGATCATGAGGCCTCTGCCCTCAGAAGGATTAATGCCATTACCACTGAAGTGGATTCCTAATGAAAGGATGAAATTTAGCCTCTGTCTTCTCTCTGTCTTGCACATGTTCTTTTGCTTTTCCAATTCCTGCTGTGATGCATCAGGAAGGCCCTTACCAGTGCAATGCTCTTAGACTTCCCAGCCTTTAGAACTGTAAGAAATAAATCTCCATTTTTATAAATTGCCCAGACTCTGGTATTTTGTTATAGCAGCAGAAGATGGACTAAGATATATGTCAAAAGTAGTTACTTTTCCCAATTCCCCACCATGGCATCCAATGGCGATTTCTATCAGAGATGACTTTTATATGGTTTGAAATATAGCAATTAAAATGTATGCAAATGTCCCACAGGTTGTTTGTAGAGCAAAATTTGCTGTGTACCTGCTGGATGCCAAATAATTTTGTATTTTACTTCTATTTTGTAGGACATATTGATATAATGAACAGCATTCCTCACCTATCAGTGAAGAAGGCAGTTCAGAGAGTTTAACTGATTTGCCAATGATCACAAGGCTCACTTAGTAGGAACCAATAACTGAATATGTATATAATGGTACCAAAGTTACAGTACATTGTATCATAAAAAGTTATTTATATCTTCTCCTCTTCACTTTCCCAACATGTAAAATACAAATAAGAGTTCAAATATAATTGACGAATTCTAAGAGGAGTGAGCAGATCCCATTCCTGGTTTATAAAACAAAACAAACAAAAAAATGAGGGGCCTGGAGAGTAGACCGAGTTTACGGAGCAGGTGACTGGCACCATGTTGCCTAACACCCCCTCTTCTTTTTCTTTGAACTGCATCATATTCTCTGTCTTCCTTTTGATCTTGAAAACGCCAAATAGAATCCCAGAACCCCAGAATCTCAGACAGAAAGGCCTGTTTCTGCATTACCCATTTTTTGAAAACGCCTTTGAAACAAATGTTTCCTACATGATTAGTGACACACTGATCATTCTAACATTATGAAGCAAGAAATATATGGCAAGAAAAAAAGGGAAAAGGAGAAGAAAAAAGAAGAGAAGGAAGGGGAATAGGGAGGAGGAGAGGAGGAAGAGAGGAAGAGGATGAGGAAGAGGAAAATGATGGCAGTGGTAAAGATCAATTACGTTTTAAAAAATTCTAGAGGGTTCCGTGACATCAGAACAGATTCAGACCAATGGCACACACAACTTATAGCTCAATTATACTATATTTTACTTGATTACATTGTATTTAAAATACTAAATTATCAACTAAGGAAGCATGTATGTCATGATTTGTGGATTTAGGTCATCATTTGGTTACTTTATTCTTGATTCTTGTGTTGTACATTGCAAGAATTTGTTGTGGAGACAGATGGGGGTAACTGTTCTCTCTTCAAAGGGCTGTGACTAAAAGGCTCTCACTCTTTGTGCTGGCAGCCTCTCCAAACCCAGAATAAACAGGGAGGTTACCAAAGGTATCTGAAACCGTATTAACATTGGTATGTTCCCAACTTTGATATGTTCCCAACTATGCACAGTGTATTTTTTAAAAGGGACTCTTGGATGAATTTCTAGCTTCTCCAAAAAAATGAAAACAACTGAACTTTACATTAAGTTATGTAAGTCTCAGAGACTGTGCTAAATTCTTCAAATACATTATTTTATTTAATCCTCAAAACAACCATCTGAGGTGGATATTATTTCCATCTCCATTTAATGGGTGAAGATATTAGGCACTAAGCAGTAAATTAATTTTCCTAAGACTAGAATGTGTACAAAGCTATAATTTGAACCAAAGTAGTCTGATTTTCCAGAACTTTGCTCTTCCTCTTTGCCTAAGAATTCAAAATTAGAGTGCTCTTCTGACAACAATTATTTACATCTGGAACATTAAGAACTGTGAGGCTTACCAGGACCTCCTTTTAACCCATGGATATGACAAAGCTTGCTTACCCTAGAGATTTAATTGTAGATCTCTGTGCTAGTTATTTATTTGCCTTACTTCCTCCATTTCTCTTGTTCTTTTATTCTCATTAAGCATTTGTATTATCTTGCTATATTTTATGCATTCTCTGTTAGCTGTCTTACATCCCTTCTGTAATAAGTAAATACGTATATAAATGCATCCTAAAACAGTCATCTCAGAAAGAGAAACATGGGCAGTGACAAATAAGTGATAAAATCCAAAATTACAGAAAATTACTTCATTATGTTTCCATTACTGTATAATTAAAAATATCTTGTCTGTTTTTAGAAAGGTTGCAAAATTATCACCACAATTAAGGATGAGCTAAGGATCTAAGATCCTTGAACTATGAATGAAGGCTTTATATCAATATAAATAAATGAATCCACCACTTAGTAGAGCCAATGAGGCCACTGGAATCAGCCCTGACAAAGCAAACACCTCCAGAGAAAATTTTGAGTGCTTCATCATGTACATCACATCTTAAAAGGAAAATAAATGGTTCACCAAGTCTACAGTACAGTGAAAGCATTTAGGATTATTAATCTGTTCCTCTCATGCTATATTCAAATGGCCTTCCACATCTCACTTCCTATCTCATAACGGATCTCTATCTCACATAATGAGTACACATAATTTCCTTTCTCTCCTCTTTAACCAAATAATTTAACCATTAATCTGGAATTCAGGTTTTAAAATGCCCTTAGATCATGTAGTATAACACCTCTATTTTTCTAAAGAAGGGACTGAGTCTCAGGGTGGTTAAACCATTTCTGAGATCACACTGCGAGTTAGACTCAGTACTGGCACTAGACTCCAGTCACCTTAACTTTAATTCTTTGATATTTCTAATATGGACATACTGCATATTTCCCAGAAAAAAAGCTTTGACTCTTATGGCTCTTCTGGTATTTTACCAAATATGAATAAACTCCACAGCATTTAGCAAACTTTCAGTGCAATCAATTAATAGTTCACATATTCAAAACTGCATCTTCCTAGGTTAAATGTGGAAGAACCAAAATTGTCTAGAAAATTCCTTCTACATATTTGAAATTCCATCTCACATGAAAGAGTTGAGAATCGGAGTGGAGTAATGAAAGTCTCAAAAGAAATGAGCCACTCAGATGCTTGAATTGTCAGTCATATGGCTATCCTTTACCTCTTTTAAGGTTTCTAACTCACTGAGACAAGTTCACTGTGACAAGGTGGAAAAGTTTAGGGTGGGTGGTTTGTTCCATAGAAAAACAATTGTTTTATTTTCTTAAATTTATTTAATTTATAGAAGAAAAAAGATATTTAAAGAGGATCTATTTGACTCTTGTATCAAATTAATAGTACTGTCATTAGAAGGCTTTCAAAATGAAATCTTATTGACATTTGTTTTCTGTGAATGAATAGAGCTAGCAAACTGGGATGAGGATTAAACATAGAATGAATATAGGTGTTTAAATTGGTCAAAATTTTGTCCGTTTGTTTTTTAATGAAAACTAAACCAAATATTTTAGGATTTTTTTTAATCAACAGAAAAGATACTAAGGTTTAGATTTTACAAGGACATATGAAAGACCAAGAGAATATTTTTAAATTTATAATTTGATGGGATAAAGATATCAAGTTACAGGAGGGATTTGCTGCCAGAAATAGCTAAGTTGGCTGAGAGCTGGAACAAAACTGCTATACAAGAACTCAATATGACATAATGCTTTTGCTTTATTTGATTTTCAGTATGTTCACTGTAATTTTGTTTTAAATATACAATTCCTTTGTGATTAAACAGTGTTGATTTTCTGGTCCAGTAAAAGCAGATGCTTTTATTAGTCATAATTTGAAAGCTTTGAATCTCCGCAAACAGTAAGCACATCATGAGGATTTCTGAATAGAAGGTCAGCTCTGTGTAGAGCTTAATGAGAGAAAGCACATCGAAGGAAGTACAGCTGCTACTGTTATTTCAATGCACCATGTTTTAAGTAAGTAAGCAGACATCCCTAACTCACTGAGGGGGGGTACCAAGTAGATGGAGAGAAAATGAAGCTGTAAGAGTCAACTACAATTTGTGTCTTTCAAATCTAAATATAAAGAGACAATCCTAGTTTTTTTGCATTTAGGTGTGAAAGTGAGAAGCTTTTGTTTGAATTATTATATCCTTACTATATGACCCATACTGGTCTTACAGCCTATGTTTTGTATTTGACTTATAAGTAATTTTATTGTATAAATATATGCTTTTTTTTTTCTTCAACTTTTAAGTTCAGGAGTACATGTGCAGGATGTGCATGTTTGTTACATAGGTAAATGTGTGCCATGGTGGTTTGCTACACAGATCATCCCATCACCTAGGTATTAAGCCCAGCATCCATTAGCCATTCTTCCTGATGTGCTCCCTTCCATACCCACCCCACAACAGGCCCCAGTGTGTGTTGGTCTTCTCTTGTGTCCATGTGTTCTCATCATTCAGCATTTTATTGTATCAGGTATTATAAGTAATCTAGTGATTATTTAAAATATACAAAAAGATGTGAAGAGTTTATATGATGACACTATGCCATTGTACATAAGGGACTTGAGCATCTGCAGATTTTGGTATCTGTGGGGTCCTGGAACCAATGCCCCATCAATACCAAGGAAAACCTGTTTTTAGCTCATTGTCGATAAGTATAAGGCTGAGAAAATCTGGAAATTCCCAAATCCAATGAAAGTTACCAAAGTTTCTGAGTAAAAACAGGACTTAAATATAATTCTGGCTAAGAAAGCAAAATCTAGTTCACTGTATAAAAACCATATTAATGTAGACTGTTAACAAAGGGGAGATGGAATGTGTGAAGTGTAGAACTAAGTGGGGAGTATCAGAGGAAATATATACTAATGTTCTTTAGCATTATCTATATAATAGAAGAACTGGAATATTCTGATCTTTAAATACCTGAGGCCTGCTATGAGACAGAAAAAAGTCCACTAAGTTTCTGTTTTTTTATTCACTTGCTTCATGAGCCATGAAAGGAGCCCCTTGAGAATTTTTCTGATTTTTTTTCACTAAGCAATCTTCTGTTCATTGAGATCTTACACCCAGGCAATACCATTCAGGACATAGGCATGGGTAAAGACTTCATGACTAAAATACCAAAAGCAATGGCAACAAAAGCCAAAATTGACAAATGGGATCTAATTTAACTAAAGAGCTTCTTCACAACAAAAGAAACTACCATCAGAGTGAACAGGCAACCTACAGAATGGGTAAAAATTTTTGCAATCTATCCATCTGACAAAGGGCTAATATCCAGGATCTACAAAGAACTTAAACAAATTTACAAGAAAAAAAACAAACAACCCCATCAAAAAGTGGGCAAAGGATATAAACAGACACTTCTCAAAAGAAGACATTTATGTAGCCAACAAACATATGAGAAAAAGCTTGTCATCATTGGTCATTAGAGAAATGGAAATCAAAACCATAATGAGATACCATTCTCTTGCCAGTTAGAATGAAATCATTAAAAAGTCCGGAAACAACAGATGCTAGAGAGGAAGTGGAGAAATAGGAACGTTTTTACACTGTTGGTGGGAGTGTAAATTAGTTCCACCACCGTGAAAGACAATGTGGTGATTCCTCAAGGATCTAGAACCAGAAATACCACTTGACCCAGCAATCTCATTACTGTTTATATACCCAAAGGATTATATATCATGCTACCATAAAGACACATGCACACGTATGTTTATTGCGGCACTGTTCACAATAGAAAAGACTTGGAAACACCCCAAATGCCCATCAATGATAGACTGGATAAAGAAAATGTGGCACATATACACCATGGAATACTATGCAGCCATAAAAAAGGATGAGTTCATATCCTTTGCAGGGACATGGATGAAGCTGGAAACCATCATTCTGGTTCCCAAACTAACACAGGAACATAAAACCAAACACTGCATGTTCTCACTCATAAGTGGAAGTTGAACAATAAGAACTTATGGACATAGGGAGGGGAACATCATATACTGGGGCCTGTCAGCGGGTGGGGGGCTATTGGGAGGGACAGCATTAAGAGAAATACCAGGGTAGATGATGGGTTGATGGGTGCAGCAAACTAACATGGCACGTGTATACCTAAGTAACAAACCTGCACGTTCTGCACATGTATCCCAGAACTTGAAGTATAATAATAAAAAAAATTATAAACTGGTTGAGGCTTCAAAACGATCTGAAACATACAGGCAACCTCTGACTTTAATTCTTAGCACTGAATAAGCAATGTCACTTTGAGAGAAAAGATTGTAAGAACAACTGAAGATTCTTATTGTTCAGAGCCTATGCAACAGCCATCACCACTCACACCTTCTCCTCTGCTTATGAAACTCTGATCCATTCATGTAAGCAGGCACAAATCCCTCAAACTCTGGGAAAATATGTGTGCCTGCTGATACCAGTAGATTAATCAGTATTAGTCTAAACCAACCATGATAATACCAGTCCCCTTTTCCATGTATTTTCCCACCCTCTCTTCATAATATGCATGGCCATGAAACATAGGTTCCAGGATGAAAGAAGAGTAAGTTCTGCTGGGGAAATTTTGAAATAGATTATTGTTCCAGGTCAATACACACAACTTTGTGAAAAGAAAAGCATTTCCCGTAGCCATTTCTTTTTAGCTTAAAATATTGAGATAAAGAAGTGATGCCTGGAGGTGTAACAGCTATCTTGTCACAATGTGGCAATAAAGCAGAAGAATGAAAAGCCAACACTCTGGGCATTTTGAAACATAAGGATGGAAACCCTGAATACTTGACATCAATGAACCTCTAAAATAAATCTGGACGTACATATCTGTGGATTTCTGAACATATTAAATATTCTTTTAAACCAAAGCATTTGGTGGAATTTTAGTTATTTGCAGTCAAATTTATCTCAACACTCATTTTCAAGCAAAGAACTGGAGGAAATGTAGATAATAGACAAGTATTATTTGGACATTGAATTTGATAAAGGCACATAAAACTTTTGACTAGTCTTTTATTCTTGCGCTGTGTATTTAAATTTGTTTCATTTCAAATGACACAATGTTCTTAGCCAAAGAAGAAAAACATCTCAAAGACTGGGAACTCATAAAATACATGAAAAAATTTTACATTTAAACTAAAAAGAATTACTGCAAATGATGAATCTCTCTAAAGACATCGTTTTGTTAGCACAAAGACTTGACTCTGGTTAACATATGTATTAGGGTTCCATAGAGGGACACAACTAATAGGAGAATATATATATATTAGAGCAATGCCTCACATGAAATTCTAGGAAATCCACATTGGACTCTCTAACTTAATAACATCAGAATCTTTTTACTTGGAAATCTAATAATCACATTATATAGATACTTCTATATATATATATATACACACACACACACATATATCTCATCTCATATATATATGTATGAGAGAGGAAGAGAGGGAGGAGTTTATTAAGTCTTAACTTACACAATCACAAGGTCTCACAATAGGCTGTCTGCAAGCTTGAGGAGCAAGGAGAGCCAGTCCAAAGTCTCAAGACTGAAGAACTTGGAGTCCAATGTTCGAGGGCAGGAAGCATCCAGCATGGGAGAAAGATGTAGGCTGGGAGGCTAGGCCAGACTTGCCTTTTCATGTTTTTCTGACTGCTTTATATTCATTGGCAGCTGATTAGCTTGTGCCCACCAGATTAAGGGTGGGTCTGCCTTCCCCAGCGCACTGACTAAAATGTTAATCTCCTTTGGCAACACCCTCACTGACACACCTAGGATCAACACTTTTCCTCCTTCAATCCAATCAATTTGACACTCAGTATTAACCATCACACTATAAATAGATATTTTAATCTCAGATCTTGAATCTGGATCCCTGTTTTCCTGTATAAGGACAGTGGAGGAGAGACTAATAATTTTAGTCTAACTACCTTAACAAATCTATGGTGTTAATTTTTTAGACCTTCATTTTGTTTGTTTCAAACTGGACCTTGGTCACACTTTTCAAACTCTCTTTCCCCATCTAAAAAGTAATTCAAAAGCATAATAGTATTACTTCTAAAAGTAAACTGGATTTATTCGGAAGGTAATTATTTCTTTTTGTTAGCCAAATAATATATTAGTGCTTTCATATAGATAAAAAAAAATGTACTATAAACAAAGTCAAAATTTCTGCTCGTGTTTTTACCAGGGGTTACCTCTATTCTAAGTTTGTAATTCTTCTAGCTATTGTAAGTTTGTAATTCTTCTAGATTTTTCACATTTATTTGCTTACCAATGGCTTTACCTACAGAATAAATTTATGCATACATTTATATAAATACATACAGTTTTTTTGTATTTTCTACTTACATAAAGTATGTATACTATATGCATCATTCATTTTTCCAATCAATGTCTCTTTAATTATTCCATAGAATTTCATAGTGTGTACATACGATAGTTTAATTATAAATGTATTGTCAGATATATAGGATTTTTTTTTTTTTTTTTTGAGATGGAGTCTCACTCTGTCGCCCAGGCTGGAGTGCAGTGGCGCGATCTTGGCTCACTGCAAGCTCCACCTCCTCCAGGGTTCACGCCATTCTCCTGCCTCAGCCTCCCGAGTAGCTGGGACTATAGGCACGCACCACCATGCCCAGCTAATTTTTTTTTTTTTTTTTTTTTGTAGAGACGGGGTTTCACCATGTTGGCCAGGATGGTCTCGATCTCTTGACCTTGTGATCTGCCCGCCTCAGCCTCCCAAAGTGCTGGGATTACAGACATGAGCCACCATGCCTGGCCTAGGATTTTCTTGATATTTTGCTTTATAAATAATACTGCAGTTAATGTCCGTGTATATGCAACAAGTATAAGTGAATCTCAAGATAGACATGAAAAAGTGGAATACTTGAGTATAAATACTTTAAATTTTAGTGGAGTTTGCCTGTTGAAATGACAAGTCTAAACTTTATTCCCATAAAGAAAGTTTGTGAGAATTATCTACTGCCCAATTACTTGATACTATCAGATTTTTCTATTTCTAATAAGCTGATATATAAAAGTAAACATCTCAGGGTTATTTTAATTTACAGTTTTCAGTATGCAAGTGAGGCTTAGCATCTCTTCATATATTTAATGGCTGCTTACATTTTCCCTTAAGAGAAAAAAAGTTATATGTTTAATTTCCTACTGAGTTTTAATTTTTTTTTACTATTTTGGAGCTCTTTATGAACCCTGAATGTTAATCCTATGTCTTTAATAAATAATTATTTTTATCAAAAATATTTTATCCAAATAGTCTTTTAATTTTTTTAATGTCTCTTATAATACATTTTAATATAGTCAACTTATCAATGTTTCCCTTTATTACTTTTGTTTTTCATACTATTTATGCATGCTTTCAGAGTATACGTGTGTGCATATACATAATATTAATAGAGACATATGGTATTTATAGAAATTACATTTGGAGAACAAATGCAATTAGATTTTTACTTTGGTCACACATAATAAAATAAATTTCAGCTAGATTTAAAACATAAAAGTAATATAGATAATGTTAGAATGAGACTGCAACTGTATATAATATGCATCAGCCACATACAGGCAGCACAATGTTAAACTGGCTTAGGTTTAGAGCAATGCCTCACATGAAATTCTAGGAAATCCACATTGGGCTCTCTAACATAACATCAGAATCTTTTTACTTGGAAATCTAATAATCACATTATACAGATACTTTAGGCCTAATGTATTTTACCCTTGCTGAAATAAACATAACTACAAAGCATAATACTTTATGCCCATATTTCTGTGAACATAAGCTTGCTTTCACAAAAATCATATACCACCGAGAAAAATAAAATTTTTAATAAAACAATTTTGTCAAAAAATGTCTAGGAGTCAGGAAATAGAATACTAATAGATTTTTTTAAAAGTGGAAGGAAAGAGTTGGCTTTGTGCCATGTTAAATGACTGTAACTTCTCCACACTGCAATTTATTTAATTATTGGTACCAGCTTCCCAGAATGAGGTGAACAGAGTGGATGTGTTCCTGGAGCATAGAAACTAGACTAGGTTAAAAATGTTGTGACATTTTTTTAAATGACTTTGTATCTTGTAAAAGACATTAATTTTCAAAAGGGTGATTATGGTTTGCCTTTTTGTACCATTATGTCTAATCTGTTTTATGTTCCAGCAGTGAAAATTATTTTCCTCCTCCAATTTATATCACAAACACAAATGAATATTCGAGTAAAAAACTTCATTGGTTTAATGTGACCATCCTCTGCATCAGCATAAAAGTATACACTTTATTCTAAATTATTAGCAGAAATAATGACTGGTCTGTAAATCACTGCAATTCATTCAACTCCAAAAAGAAAGATTCTTGGAAATAAAGTATAATTCTCATTCCAGGAGGGTAAGACAGTGAATGTACCTGAAAGAAACCAAAGCAATAGTAGTAATACCTAAAAACAAATGACTCAATGTGTCCTTAGCCTTAGTTAACAATTTCTCATTAGGAAGAGGCAGAAAACATGGATAGCTAGAAAAACTTAAGCAATTCTGTCTGACAAAATGAGATCTGAAAAATTCTTTTTCAGATATTAAAACAATTATACCAGTGTTTATTTATT
Organism: Homo sapiens; assembly: GCF_000001405.40. Classification (NCBI taxonomy): domain Eukaryota; kingdom Metazoa; phylum Chordata; class Mammalia; order Primates; family Hominidae; genus Homo; species Homo sapiens. The sequence continues at coordinate 31,690,096 of NC_000009.12, forward strand.
TTCATAAATAAGAAGATTGAAACCCAGTATTGTGAGGGAACTTATAGAACCAGGGAAGTCGAGATTTGAAGAGGTTATTGATGCTTTACATTGCTTCTAGTAGCTAGATAACATAATGAGTGTATAAAACTTTGATAAACATCAAGTTATTATGATTATCTTAGATCAACCATAAATTATCAGAGAGAAGTTTTAACATCTTCACCGGTCTAGAGTACATGGTCTCTTCTTTGGGGAGTAAAACTAAGAACCTAAGCCAAATGGTATAACTTAAATGTATTCCCCGAAGTTCATGTGTTGGAAATTTAATTCCCAGTGCAACAATGTTGAGAGCTGGGGCCTAATGGGAGGTATTTAGTTAATAAGGGCTCCAACCTCATGAATGAATTAATGCCAATTATAAGTGGGCTTGAAGCTGTGAGTTTGCTTTTTTCTAACCTTCTCTTTGGCCTTCTGTCATTGGATGATGCAGCAAGAAGACCCTTGCCAGATATTAATCCCATGATCTTGGACTTTCCAGCCTCCAGAACCATACAAAATACATCTCTGTTCTTTATAAATTACTCAGTCTTTTATAGCAGCATAAAACAGACTGAGACACCCAGATAACTCTGCCTACACCCTGAAAACCAAGAGGAAGGTGCATCACTCTGAAACTGAGCTAGGATTCATGGTGGGAGGTTACACTGTCACGACAACTAAGAAATTCTAACAGTAAAGAAAACATAGCCGAGTCTGTATGAACCTGTGCTCTACCAAATCACAAAATAAGCACAGAAATCAATCCAGGGTTTGGCCTGTGTGAAGAGAATGCCCTATTTTTTCTGCCTGCTGAATACAAGTTCTCATGGTTTGTTGGCTGTTTGTACAGATTTGTTCAATGGAACACATGCAATTTAAGCTAATAGAGGAATGAATGTAGAGCATGATGGTGGCTCATCGTTTGCCTTCACTTTAGGGGTGCAGGGAGAAGATGAGGCTGCAGCATGTATCATTGTGATAGTGACAGAGCATACGTGGAGAACTGAAGCTGTCTTGACAAAAGTGAAGTTGGCTTGTATGAAACACAGTAACGCGACTAATGTCTTAGGCCTTTTAATACGCCCACATTGCATACTGCTGTTCACATTGTACATATTGCCTGTTTGTTAAATGATTGACTATTTAAGCCACAGATGTCTGAAATTGATAAAATGTACAAAAAAGGTTGTATTTAGTGAACACATAACTTAGTAGTGAACATATAATATAACTTAAGAAATCTTAGCTATTATTGCGAATAAATAAGGTTGGCATAAGAGTTTAAGTCACAGTAAGATAAATCACCAAAAAGGTAAAGTTTTACCTTTATCTGTAAAGGGGAGGCAAACTTTGATATATTCAATATTTAAAGGAAATGAGACTTTACATCTGAAGAGACAGAAATATCTTTCAATTGTTTCCCCACTCAAGGTATTATAACTTCTTGAGAAAAAAAATGGAACTGCTTTAAATATCTATCTATCTATACATATTTATGCTATTTTTCTACATACCTGAAGGTATTATGAAAAAATTAATGATAGTACTAAAGTAGCAACTTCTGATAAGAGCTATAGAGAAATAAAAGGGTCTCAAGATAGAAAGTTATGGTGAGAAGCAAAGTCTGAAATGAGATACGGTCTAGTCACATATAAAGGTGGTGGATGGTAAGGAAGTGGGGACAGTGACAAGTATATATAGGGATTTCCAGATATAGGGAAGTTCTACACAGGCAATGACTGGGTGTGCTCTAACAGCTGAACATCTTGTGGCTAGAGTACATTGGGAGTGGGTGAGAGAGGTATATGAGAATGAAAGACAACAGGAAACAATATCTATAGGAGAGCAAAATGACCTGATTTATAATTTAGAAAAATCAAACCATATTCTACTTGAAGAATGAAAAGGGAGACAAAAATCAATGAGGTCCTGGAGGTTTCTGGTTTGACTGGAACGGTATGACAGAGACTGAGATACAAAATGGGATGAAAAGGAGAGTTGAAAAGAAGATACGGGTTAAGGTTGAGCTATATTGCATGTGATGCCTTCTATGCAGACTGTGGTATGAGGTCCAATAGGCAGCTGAAACTATTGATTTTAAGCTCTGATAGTTGGAGATGGGAGCTTATATGCATACGAGGTCATTGAAGTTATGGGAAAGTTAATATAGAAAAAGGAAGAGAAGTTGACTGCACATCAGTCTTTATTAAAGTAGCCTATGAAGTTAGTTGTTAAAGAAGGCCTGGGAATATGCATTTTTGAAAACACATCAAGTTGTTTTTTAAAATTCTAAAGGTTGAACACCACCTGTTTTATATTTCAAAACAAGCCTCTGGAGTCAGACTTTATGAGCTTATATCAATGCTCCCTCATCTAATGGATGTCTAAACTAAGGCAAGTAGTAAAACTTTTATCACTGGCAAATTCCTCATCTCAGAAAAGACAAATAAAAAATATTAGTGTTATCATGGACATTACTGAGTTGTACATGTAAATATTCAATGATGTCATAGTATTCTGAAGTCAGTTGCCATCTCTTTCTTGGTTATTACTAGAAGTATGACCCCCAAAGGATATATATGAATATATAGCCCAGTTGATATTTATTATGGCCCAGCTGTTTACCTGAGTCCTGAATTCTACATGACAGATTTTATGTTTGCAAAACTGTTAAATCAATAAATAATCACATAGCTATAAAGTTAGGATCAATTATCTAATGCATCTTCTGCCCCCTGACAAGCAAAATGTCAGAACTCTTTCATCATTATTGGACCATCTTTTAGGATTATTCAAAAAAAAAAAAGACTTTTAGGAGAAAAGAAGAATTTGAAGAATTTAGGGTTCTCCTTCTCTGTCCATTCCCTACTCTCATCAGAACAGGGAAGCAATTTTCTTGACTTTGTCTAGTTCTAGGGTTTCACAAAAGATTTCTCTAAATACTAGGAGTTTGTTATTTAAAAAATCCTAATTGTTTTTTCAAATTTACCTTAGGAAGGCAAACACACTCTTAGGGAAAGGTCATAGGAATTTCAGAGAAGATTGTTCAGAGTACCAGGCCCAGGCACAAGCATTTAATTGTCCACACTAATATCTTCCCCAAAAAAGAAAATGTAGTACCTATTTTTTGTTGTTCAAGCATCACTGGAGTGTCTAAGCTGCTATGTTCTCTGCCTGTAAAGAGGACATTTTTTTGCAATTAATACTGATAATATTTGACAATACAATTTATTCAGCTACTCAGGATAGTCTCAGGATAGAGGAAGGAAAATTTGACTTTCTGCACTTAAAGTAGAGTAATATAAGTAGAATCAAAAGAGTTCAAGTCATCTATCCTCATATCTCAAATCTTAAAGTCAAAATATTTATTACTATTCTGCTGCATCCATCCTGTGGATAGAGTTAGGACGTTCTATCTGCAGAATTCTAGGTTCCTTCCTATTTCTTAACCTCGGTGCTCTCCAGAATACAACAGCTAGCCCCATTCTAGTTCCCAGGCTGAATGTAACTTCAAACAGGAAATCCTTAAATTGGCTAATTTTAGTCTGACAAAGATAAGCTGTGGGCTGAAGTTTACAGGTCCTCCTCGAAGAGTCATTACATACATAATACAAATTTTGAATTTGTTGTCCAAGTGCAATGCCCCAAAGTGCCCTTCCATGATCTCTGAATGTCCTATATGTTTCTTCTTTATTCCCTGCTCTCTAGGACAGCACCCTGACTTATCCTTGATATGGACTCTATCAGGGAATATTTATAAAATAAAGGTGTATTCACTAGAATTCTCCCATTTTATCCTCAGAAGGAAAGAAACGGCAGGGGTATAGCTCTTATAGCCATGCAATTTCTGTCACAGACTATAAACTTTGATACACCCGTGAGAGAATGTTGAAAATGAATATCGTGTCACAAGTCTTGTATGGAAAACAGAACAAATTTTGGCAACTATTATTGTAAAGAACATGATGGTTTACGAACAACTGGAGAGCCTGCTTAGTGTCCAAGTTGTGTTTAATCCAGAGGAAGAATCAATAAGGCCATTAAAAAATCATTAGCCATACATAACCAGTTTTGAGGTAGAATCACAATGTAGGAAATTTAATGTTTAATTACACAAAAGTTTATTAGACAAAGGGTATTTATAAAAAGCAAGGAATGCTCATAAATATAGATACACTAGATCCATGAATACTTAGCTATAAATAATTTTTTTAAAAATTTTTATGAAAAAGAAAGAAAATATCTTTTTAAAAAGGAACAGGAAGGTACTGTCACGTTAAACTTGTAATTTTATGTAGTCAACATAACAGTGAATAATAATTTTTTGTTGTCTCAGTGGTTACTGAAGTTGTTAGAATAATAAAACTACTATAATCATCAATATCTATGTAGATCATAAAAACAGCACCTTGGATTTTCATTTCTTTTACTTTCTGACTCCTAACAACTATTTGTGTTACTTTATCTCAGGTAACCAGCTCCACAGTCAGTACAGATAACTGCACCAGCTGCAGTGCAAAATCTTTTGACTCTATTTGTACCTCCTATTCATGGTTACTTGCAATACACCTTCACTTTCCTTCTTCTTCAGCTTAGTGTTCATAGTCAAACACAATTGTTGCTTTAATTACACAATCACCCAACTTGCCTCTCTCTTTATCGTCAACTGATGTACTTTCCAATCTACTCACCTATTATTTTATAAGATTTAAAGGTATTTTGATGGTGGGACACAATACAGTCACACTCAGACGTATTAAAGGTAGAATTTTTTGTTACCTTCAGCTCCAAGCCAGAGAAATATGTCAGGCAGAGTTGTGCAGTGTTGCACCTCAGTGCAGGGAAACAGCAAGCTGAAACTGTAATGAGCCACTTATGTATGGCAAGTGGGGTAGGACTGGCTAGGTTTTGCAGGTTCTTCATGGGTTGGTTAATTTGAATAATCTTAGTGAACTCTGGAACATAGGGGTTGTCCTTAGTTGTCCAGTACCTTGTCCTGGGGTGACCAGGGCAGGTATATAGTGGCCTGGAGTGAAAGACGGATAAGAAAAGTAGTTGTGGGTCATGGATTTAGCAGCTCACTAAGAAAATTGGCAGGCCTCTAGCTAGGACCTCAAAACTGGATCAACATATCTCTCACCATATAAAAAAGTCAACTTAAAATTGATTAAATGTAATTTCTTAAATATAAGACCCAAAACTATAAAACTATAAAACACAGGGAAAACCCTTCAGGGCATTGCTCTAGGCAAAGATTTTCTGAGTAAGACTTCAAAAACACAGGCAACAAAAACAAAATAAACAGGTGGTACTATATCAAACTAATAAGCTCATGTGCAGGAAAAAAAAATCAACAATCAACACAGTGACCAGACAACTTTTAGAATACGAGAAAATCTTTGCAAACTAGTCATTTGACAAAAGATTAATATCCAGAATACAAAATAACTTAAACAACTCAACAGCAAGACTACAATTTGGTTAAAAATTGGGCAAAGGCTATAAATAGACATTTCTTAAAAGAAGAATTAAAGATGGCCAGCAGATACATTTTTAAATGTTCAGCATCACTAGCTACCAGGGAAATGCAAATCAAAACCACTATAAGATATCATCTCACTGCAGTTAGAATGGTTATTAGCAAAAAGATGAAAAATAACAAATGCTAGCGAAGACGTGGAGAAAAGGTAACTCATATAATTTTGGTGGAAGTGTAAATTTGTATGGCCATTATGGAAGACAATATGTAGGTTTCTCAAAAAGCCAAAAATAGAACTACCATGTCACCCATCAATTCTACTACTGAGCATTTATCCAAAGGAAGGTAATCAGTATTTTGAGGAAATATTTGTACTCCCATGTTTATTGCAACACTATTCACAACAGCCAAGACAAAATCAACCTGTGCCTATCAATGAATAAATAAAGATGATATGTGAGTACACAGATACACACAATAGAATACTATTCAGCCACACACAAAAAACAGAATAATATCTTGTTATTCACAGCAACATGGATAAGCCTGTAGGACATTATATTAAGTAAAATAGGTTAGGTTCAGGAAGATAAATAATGCATGTTCTCACTCATATGTGAGAGCTAAAATAGTTGATCTCATGGAAGTAGAGAGCCAGATTGTTATTAGAGGCTAAGAAGGGAATGGGGGAAGGCAAGATAGGAAGAGATTGATTAACAGATACAAAATTATAGCTAGAATGAAGGAAAAAGTTCTACTGTTTTGTAGGGATATAGAGTGAATATAGTTAACAAAATATATTGTATATTTTCAAAAACCTAGAAGAGAGTATTTTGGATGTTCCCAGCACGAAGAAAAATGTATGAGGCAACAGATATGCTAATTACCCTGATTTCATCGTTACACATTATATACATGTATCAAAATATCACTCTTTATTCCGTAAATATGTATAATTATGTATCAACTAAAAATAAAACATTAGAAAATTTAAAACTGAGTCAAAAAAGCACACAAACTATAATTACATTGAGAGAAATATAACTTTCCACCAACTTCATGCTTTTACCCAAGCAACTGAGTACATCTGAAGACAAATCTACAACTCTTCTTCCTCTCCTACATGATCAATAAAGGCAGCATCCTACGTAAGCCTCATGTCCTTTTCCAGTTACTACCCCAGTTCTCTGATATTCTTGAGGATAAAACTCCTCAGAGTTTTTTTCATGGTCTTCACTTCCATTCCTTTCTTTAACACATTCCTGTAATAATTTAACCTCTATTATTCCTCTGAAACTGTCTTACTTTGGTCACCAATGAACCCCAGATCACTAAACACAATGATTTTCTTACCTTACTCTACCTGTGAGCTGCATGTGAGATCACTTCCTTCCTCTCTAAAGACGTTCTTCACTGGGCTTCTAGAACATTCCACCCTTGGTTTGCTCTCTACTGCTATTTATCTTCCTCCTCTTCTACCTCTAAATATGGCAGTGGAGCTGGGTTCAGCCTTTGGCCTCCCCATTCTTCTTAGTTTCATTCACCTCTTAAGTGATCTCATCTTATTATTTTAAGTGATATCTATATGTTCTTGACTATAATTCTATAATTTTTTCTCTTATTACTCCTTTGATCTTCAAACATAAAGCTAACTCCTTATTTTCAACTCCATTTCCGATTGGGGCAGAAATTTTTTGTTGCCTACTCCAAAGCCACATTCTTTTCTTCCTTGTGTCACAGTTTTGTTCTGGTACAGACAAACATTCACTAATAGCATGAAAGTTGAGTCAACTCTTTTATGTTGATGCATGGAAATTGTTTCTGCCATTGAGAAACTAAAGGGAATCTACCTGAGGAATCTCTAGAAAAGGTTTGTAAAATAAAAATAAATCAAAAGAAAACCTCCACTTCAATTTCCTCTTTCTGAAAAAGGGTGTCTCATACTTGTACTACAGCAGCCATCTTGTACAGGGAGGAGAAGGCCAAGAGAATCATACAACATATTTACCCAAAACGCTGACACTGTGGGGCCACCTCTCAACCACAGCAACATCTCCTCTTAACGATGGACCTCCTAAAACTGACTACGCTGATTTTTGTGTGTGAGTGTGAGACAGAAAAAAAAAAAACAAAAAAAAACAGAACCCTCCCTATTTGATTAAATCTTCCTCAGATATTCTGTTATTTTGGATAAAGCATGGACTAACTGATATCAATCTACACACATTGGCACACTTGAACTTAACATTTCCTAAGTAAGATTCTGTTTTCCTACTCCCTACCAAACAGGTTTGGGTTCCCACAGAAGATCCTGAAATGAGAATTTGAATCCAAGTATTTTACTTGGAAGATGATCCCAAGAAAAATTGTTCAGGGATAGGAAAGTTAGACAGGCAATGGAAGGCAACAAATACGGAGTGTGTAATCAAGCTGATTACCACGGAGGGCAACTGAAGCAAAACTTTATGGGGAAACTCTGGTAAATGGTGTTAAAAACATTCCTTGAAGTTATTCCAGCCCCAGGATGAAAAGACTGGTGTTTGTATATCAGCTCCTGTAGGCCATTGCTTGAGTGCTGCTGCCTGGAGTGTTAATTTCTTGGCACATCAAGTCTGCCCTGTATGTAGGCAGAGCAACATTTGTTGGCTTCTGAGAAAACCCTTAGGCAAAAAAAGAAGCAAATCCTTACTGTTAGAATTTTGCATCTAAAATCCAAAAGATATAGACAAAGAACCAACTGTTTCTGCTTTGCTAAACCTCCATGCCCTGATCGTTTCTATTGACACTCTACATTAAGATCACCCTGTGATATTATTGCCTTCTTCAAAGAACTAACCAGTCAAGTTTTCCTTGAGAAACAGAGTATAAGAGAGTTAGAACAAGCTACATTAGTTGATGTTTTAGTTAATTCCCAAGGCTGCAAGTTAATCTTCTGAACCTTGGGTTTCATGTGCTTTTCAGGCTAAGCATGATGCCTTTTCTCATGTATAGTTGTCATAGAACTTGGAAACACCAAAGGAGGCCCAGGGAATTGTCCTAGTTCTATGTCTCCTCTGGTTCATTATGGAAAAGCAGCCTTATCTTCTCCTAATAGTCAATTACCCCTGGAAGTGTAGCCACCCCTTTCTTTGATTGCTGGTCTCCTGGCATGAGGATGCCAAACAACTAGATAGTAGTATGAGATGGGAATACAAATTTCTCCAAGAGAAAAACTGGAAGACATGGTAAGTAAAGTCATTCCTACTTCGTTCTTGGATACATGTAATTTACCTATTGAAAGCATAACAATGCATAATGGTGATCACTATAAAATATACCCTCCAGTTTTAAAACTAGTCACCCAAACTTTCAGAGAATTATTCCCAAATGAGCATCGTGGCTGTGTCTTTAAGAGGCCATTCAATGTTCCACTAGATTGGCAAATTCTGGTTGATTCAGTATGTGGTAGTATTTGTCTCTAGGCAGTGACTCCCATCTTCATATCTTCATTATCACACATCTTTCATTATAAAAGCTCCCCTGGTCCAGTATAATATCTGTAATATCCCATGCTGATAATCTAGATATTCCCTGATTCTTCCATGCTGTTGCTTGCCAAAATGCTGTCAGCAGGGAAGGCAAACTCATAAAAAATTATGTATCTATTCCAGTGAGGATGAATAGTTTCTCCTCCAACTTACCAAAAACTGATTCACTGGTCTTCAATTGATGGTGCCAAAAGTAGGACTTGGCATCAGTCCTTGCTGTTGATAGCCCATGCAAGGAACTGATACACGGCCCCTACTGATACATGTAGGGGCCATCCCTCCATCCCAGACACCATGATTATTCCATTCATTTTTTCACCAAGGTTGCCAAAGGTGGAGACTGGCTTGTTTTCTCCACCACGCATGTCTTCTGATATGTTTCCAAATACTAGACCTATATTTTATATAAGAGCCTACCTGATCACCAGTAATGCCTGTGTTAGACTTTGCTCTTAGCTGAGTTTTACATATTTCTAAATAAATTCACATTTCCCTTTACTAAAATACAGCTTAAGAAAACCCAGCAATTTTGTATTCTGTATTAGTTTCTGTTCTAGTCTTTCCTACATTCATCATTTAGAAAATATTTCTAACAAATATTTAGGTTGAATACCTAGTCATGCATTATAATAAATAACTATTTAATCTTTTCTTTTTTTGTTTTCACGAGCATGGATCATCCATCGTATGAAGTGCTGAGTTGGATGATCAAACAGATCAGCTTATATTTTCCTTGTCTCATTCTAATATTATTCCTACACAGACATTCACCAATGAGGAAGCAGAGTTTTAGAAATGGTAAAAACAAAATTGGCAATGGTCCTGCAGCCAGTATGTGACAAAGGTGGTGTTTGAACTCAGTATTTCTGATTAATAAAACATTCATTACAGGGTGAGGCATACTCAGTTATTCAGTAAATATTAGATCATTTTATTTCTGCCATCCTCTGCTCCTCTATACAGTCACTCCAAATTAAAGAAATATGTTAAAAGCATGTGTAATGTCTCATGATTCATAAAGCATTTTTATGTATTAAATAAGAAAAGACTTATATGCAAATGTAAGTAGACAAATATAATTAAGTATAAACAAATAGTGTGGACAAAACACTGTGAGGTAGATATTGCTTCTATTTACATTGATGGACCTGCTTAAAACCTTGTCCATGCATGTCCATACTGGAAAACCCAGAGGGGAGGTGCTCAGGAATCGGACAGCTCATTTTCCTGGAACCCTTGAGCACCCACTCTTAGATTACTTGGTAAAGAAGATGACACTAATGAGAAACCACAAGTTTCCTGGCACAGAGTTACAGAAGCCTCATGAATATTATGTTACAAAATACTTAACTGGATGACAAAGGTAAAGTAGTGCCTCTTTGTACTGAGGAAGCACAATGATCAAGGTTCACTTGCCTATACATGACACCTTCTGTGATACCCGTTCTTCTCTCTGCTACCCCTGAGTGATCCCAGCACAATCTCTGCCTCCCACTCTGCTCTCTCTTCCTCATGTGCTAAACACCAGGGCTGCTGTCCAGAAATGACCTGTCTTGTTCTCCAAGATAATCCTTGCTTGTCAATGACATGGCCTATTTCACTCTAATAAGAGCAATCTATGCACATCTTTCTGTACACTGCACATGAAGGCACCTATTTTTCTTCTCCATTAAATCTTCTGAATGAGGTGCCTCTCTCTGCATTTCAGTCATTATCATTTCTATAAGTGGGCCTGGTTTTCCTCCTCAGAATAAAACTGTAAAGTTTCCATTGTCATACGATGTCTTTGGCCCTGTATTATCTGTCAATCAATCTGCTTCTCCAGGATATGAATTATTTTTGAAGGATGGAAAGAGAAGCCTATTAAATGTGATAGTAACACTTAAATTTTCTCAGCCCATTCCAGTTGAAGTGATATGAAATCAGGTCCTTTTACTAGCCCCTTCTCTTCTTTTGAAAATAATAAGATTTGCACGAGATTTAATAAGAAAATCAGCATATGTGAATGGGTTGTATATTTGAAAAATAGAAATTCCAGGGCAGACCTGTGTTACATTGGAATAAATGCAATGAAACAGGAAGGAGGCTCGTTTTACTTCTGGTACTAACAGGATGTTGTTCAAATGCCAATTAGGAGAGCAAAAAATAAGAAACTTTAATGGTGCTTCTGGGAGACCTTGACACAAGAAATAGTGTAAGAATTTTAAGCTGTCTTGTAAAGCTTAACATATCATGTGCTGCCTTGACATCTTGGAGCTTCCCAGGGCCCCAAGGGCACAACCATGAGTTCCCTCACCCTGGCCAGAAATACTTCCCACCCAGTGGGAAAGGGTCTTTTCCTGGCTCGTTCTCCATCAGCTAGACAACTGCATGTGATTCACTGGGTCCTCAGTCTAATAGTGTTCACTTCCCTGGAAGCTCACAGAATTATTAAAATAAGCCAATCATATCCGGCCGCAAAAACCTGGTAGCACTTCACCCCCTTGTTACTGCGAGGCCTGCCTCCTACAGCCCTATTTGTTTACTCCTCTCTCCAGTGCAACCTCCATGAGGCCCTGTAATGCGGCAATTACACATCCATGGCCTGTGATGTCCTCCTGTGGGATGTCAGTATATGTGACTAATAAATTGCTGTGAACTCATCTGTCCATTGTTGGATGTCATGTTTCTGGCCACCTTGGATTATTCAAGATGTGTATCCCTCCCCCACCAGGAATGTGAACAACAGGCAATCAAAACACAGCTCATACCTGGAAAGTCAGAATAATAAGATTTTTTCTTTATAAAAAACTTATTAGGTAACTTTTCAACTGATCACTGTTGCTAATAAGTGGCCAGGTAAAAGATGTATATGAACATTAAAGAATTATGTACAACTATGATTGTAACCACAGCATTTTGCAAAGACACATTAAACAGATTAGAATGGTTAAGTGGTATGTTAAGTGAATGAGAGGTGAATACAGGGATAAAAGGGAATTTAAAAAACAAACAAAAAGGGAATCTTGGGTAGAACATATGTAATAACATGTCATGAATTGAGGCCAGGAAAAACAAAGCCTATTTGAAAACTCCCTGCCCAATTTAAGGCAGTAATACATGCACATGGTGAATGTGTGTGCAATGGCTGATTGTTTTCTACATTGGAAACCTATTTATTTTTATATACCAATTTTGTTACCAGCAACATTATTGACCTATTTTATGTTTTCTAATAGCTCAAGGTCCTTTTCTAGGCTAGGGACTGACAAGAATGTATCCTAATCATCTGCAAATAATGATTTTAATTTTGTTGCCTTCTTTGTCAGTGTGTTCCTTATATTTCTTTCTCATATAATAGAGGTGGCTAGGACCTCTAGAACAATGTTAAATAACAATAGTGCCTCTCTGTTTCTGACTTTTATGAGAATGGCTCTAGTGCTTCATGATTAAAAAGGATTCACTTCCCTGAATATTTATAGTAAACATTCAGCATTATACCTAATTTGAAACAATATTATACCTAAATTTGAAACAATAAAAATATGCTTACCTTCATATTAAATGATAATTTCATTAATATATGTTATCTCTTTTATAAACTAGAAGTGGGAGTTTGATTTATCATATGTAATTTTGTATCTCTGAAATTAGTTCTATATCTTTTCTGCTTTGGCCTCTTCTTGGAGTGATGTATCGGATTTTCTTTTATTTATATTATTGTTAGAATAAGCATAGTACATTTTATAATATAAAATGCATGCAGTCTGATTCCTGTTCTCAAGTTAATTTGTTGAAGAGTATTACTATATGAACATGCAAGTCTAATTAGAGATAAATAGGCAAGAAACTTTGGGTGGCATTGGATGTAGTTTGGAACAAACTCTTTTCATTTTGCCTCCCAAAAAGTGATCCCTTTGGGAAACCAGCTCAGACTTCAACTACATCTCCCTCAGAGTGCATATCACTATTAAAGCATGTTTACTTGTGGTACAGTTTTACTTCTGTGCAAACAGCATTAGTTTCTGTTTTCCCAAGAGGATCTGTTTTCATACCTACATTTGGTCCTAATTATGAACTGCATGATATATTCAACTGTGTTTACATTGCAAATTTTCTGCCATGTTCTATGACTTGTTCAGAATTTTGATGTTTTAGAGCAATTACTTTGATATAAAACCTGTAAGCTCTGTGAAGGCAGAAACTTCATTCATTGCCTCTCCGCAGCCTTCTTAGAATAGTTCTCAGTGTACAGAAAATGCTCCATAAATATTTGATATTTTTGTTTAAATTTGTCTTGAAAAATTTGCTTTTATTGCAAAGGTTATATGGTTATGTCTTTAGAAAATATTAGTTTGGTGGGAAACACTGCCTTCTGAATGCTGTAAAGAATACTGGTAAGAATCCTACCTCTTATGTATTTTGGATATAAGGACATTAAAAGTCCTTCCATGGCTTAATTAAGATTTTATTCCTCTTTAAAGTGAACAAAGCATTTTAATATATTATATCAATGTATTCTCACCCAAACTCTTTGATGTATTGTTAATACCCTATTTTAAAGATAAAACAAATGAGAATCTCAGAGATCAGGTAATTTACACAAAAGTGCTGATTTGGTAATCCCTGAAAAACACACACAGAATTTTAAGTCCCAGATATCTGAATGTTCCAGTAAATGCATATTTTTTAAAAATATCCATTCCCCTTTTATATTCATATCCAAACATATTGATAAGCAAGTCCATTTAAAATAAACACTAATGTCAATCTCAAAGCCAAAAGGATAGACGAGATTATAAAGTAAGTTTTTGGCTTGAAGCAACTACACAGAGGATAGTAGAAGTATATTATTTGAAGACAATAAGTATATTTTGAGATGTTTTCAAATGAGAAAAGAAATATTGTTGAACAATTCCAGTGAAGAAAATCATCCAAAAAAATTAATCAATGTATTTATAAAAAGTCCTCAGAGGACACATTTTTCTCTTTGCTTTCCTTACATTTGTATAATTAAATATTCAAAATTGTTTGATTAATGAGAGAATAAATAATTGTAATAATTGACTATACTTCCAGTTTTATGTAAAACATGTTGAAAGTCATGGTAAAATTTCAAAATGTATATTCAGTCTTCAGGTGTTTTATTTTATTAAAAATTGCCACTTAGCTGCAATTTACTTAAATGTTGTTCCCAAAATGTATCACTTAGAGGTCAGCTTTTACTTATTTATGTATTCTTAAGGAAGGGTGGATGCACAATTCTTATCATACAGAATTTGATGTTTAGCTCTTGAGTTTGTGACATTTTTTTCTGGACTTTCTGCTCTTAGGGTTCCCATCTAAGAAATTAGACGGTATCTGTGATGGCTACTTTTATGTATCAACTTGACTGGGCTATGAGATGCTCACATATCTGATGAAACATTAATTCTGAGTATGTTTGTGAGGATGTTTCTGGAAAAGATTAGCATTTGAATTGGTGGACTGAGTAAAGCAGATGGCCCGCCCCAATGTGGGTGAGCATCCTCCAATCCGCTGAGGGCATAAATAGAACAAAAAGGTACAGGATTTGTCCTCCCTTAGCCTGACTGCGTGAGCTGGAACACCTATCTCTTGCCCTCTGTGCCCCTGGTTCTCAGGCCAGACTATACCACCTACTTTCCTACTCTCCACTGTGCTACTGGCAGATTATAGGACTTCTTAGCTCCATAATTACCTGACCCAATGGGCCCATCAATACCTTATAGTAAATAGTAACTCTCTGTCTCTCTCTCTCTTTCTTTCTGTCTCCCTCTCTATGTGTATATATATATATGGTTCTGTTAGGAGAAATAGACTAACACAACCTTCTTATGACAGTAACTGTTAATGTGACCTTTCTTAAGCTTTATACACCTCATAAAGAGGTGTCAGTAAAAATCCAGACTGTGTCCAGTCAACTGGAGATCAACAAACTTCACTTTAGATGTGGTAATTAAATACAGGTACAGACATACCAAATAAAGGGAAATTAGTGTCATTCTATTTAGAATTATATGATCTCAGAATCGAAAGGAAATGTTCATTTAGTTTACTCCAACCACTCACAGAATGTGTAATGGTATACTACAACATTCCATTGAATGATTTGGCTTATAATTATTTTTATCTATTAATATGTGCTTATTTCACTGCATTTGATCTTCTAAATTAAGTAATTATTCCTTATTTTAACAAGCCAAACAATTCAGAAGTATAAAGTTAATAATCTGCATTGAGTTCACACCTTCTTACAATATTAATCCCTGAGAGTAACTATTATTAACGATTTGATCTATATATTTTCACATCTTTATGCTCTTAAAAACATTTACAGACATTTAAAATTACTTTCAAGAAGAAGTAATTCAATCCTTGGGTACGAAACCATAGAAACTGAGATGTATTTTAATTAATACACTAATTATTTTTATTAAATAAAGTTTTATTTAAAAGAAATGTACTTTTTGAGTTTATTTAGGTAATATCCTAGTCAATATAAAGGACATCTAATTTGACTCATACAAGATTGTAATTATCACAATTTTACAAAGCAGAGTTTGCTTTAAAATATATTAAGTAAAAATTATAATAAAAAGATTTACCACAGAATCACATGGTTTTATACTACTATACAACTGATTTAGGATCAAGAAAAATATTTAATATTGTTTTGCATTAAGGCAGGAAAAAATATAAGACAGAATTGCAATAATAATTAACTGTGATCATTACTTTCAGGTGTGAGCTTGAGTGGATTAATGAATACCAACATAGCTGGTAAAGCATTATTTCTGGATGTGTCTGTGAGACTGTTTCCCAAGGGGATTGAGAGGAGCTTGTCATGTGAGACTGAAGATCTGCCCCCAGTTTGGGGAGCACCATCCAATAGCTGGTAGCCAGACAGAACACAAATGGCAGAGGAAGAGGAAAGGTGTATGTGCTCGATCTTTCTTTCTTTTTCTCTCTCTCTCTCCCGACACACACACACAGTCCCCCATTACCTTGATGCCATATCACCACCACATGGTTCTCAGGCCTTTGGCCGTGGATTCAGAGTTATACCATCCATGGTTCCAAGGTTTTCTGACTTGTAATGAGCCCCAGGCTACCAGCTTCCCTGGGTTTCCAGCCCTCTGATAACCTGTCATGGGACCTCTCAGCCTCCATAATCCGCAAGCCAATTCCCCTAATATATCCCCTTTTATCTCTCTCTCTCTGTCTCTCCCCCACCACCCCCCCATTGTTTCCATCTCTCTGGAGAACCCTAACACAATCACTTTATTAAATTTATGATTTCAATGAAAATCCAAGAAAGTCTAAATTTACATAAAATAACAAAAGTTCAGAGATATTATAAAATAACATGAGAAAGTCATCTTTCTGTATATCCGCAAAATTTGATTTGAATTTACAATTAAAATAGACTGAAATCAATATAATTAACAACAGCAAAGAAAACTAGGTCCTTAGCAATAAGTTAAATTAAATATATGCAAACTTACATGTAAAATATTTTACTAAAATATTTTTTAAATGTATTTTGTATAGACAGTGTCTCATTCTGTCTCCCAGGCTAGAGTGCCATGATGTGATCATAGCTAACTATGATCTGAAACTCCTGGACTCAAAGGATCCTCCCACCTCTGCCTCCTCAGCATCTAGGACTAAAGAGATATGCCACCAAGCCCTGATAATTCTTAAATTTTTTGTAGAGATTGGGTCTTGCTATGTTGTCCAGGCTGGCCTCTGACTTCTGGCCTCAAGCAATTATCTCACCTCAGCCTTCCAATCTGCTGGAATTGCAGGCATCAGCCACCACACTCAGCACTGAAAGATTTTACATAATTTCTGAATCAACAAATGTTTCATACTCTTGGATGAAAATCTTATAATGTGAATTATTAATGTATAAAATCAAAATCCCAACATTTTGCTTTCCTTTAGAATTTCCCAATTATTTGACATTTATACTAAAGTACAAAGGGCCAAGAATAACCAAGACACTTTTTTTTTAATTTTAAGTACAGGGGTACGAGTGCAGGTTTGTTAAATAGGTAAGCTTGTGTCATGGGAGTTTGTTATACAGATTATTTCATCTCCCAGGTACTAACCCTAGTACCCATTAGTTATTTCTCCTGGTCTTTTCCCTCCTCCCATCCTTCACCCTCTGAAAGGGCCCTGTGTGTGTTGTTCCCCTCTGTGTGTCCATGTGTTCTCACCATTTAGTTCCCTCTTACAAGTGAAAACACGCACTATTTAGTTTTCTGTTCCTGTGTTAGTTTGCTAAGGATAATGGCCTCCAGTTCCATCTATGTCTCTGCAAAAGACATGATCCCATTCTTTTTTATGGCTGCATAGTATTCCATGGTGTGTATGTACCACATTTTCTTTACCTAGTCTATCACTGATGGGCATTTGGGTTGATTTCATGTATTTGCTATTGTGAAGAGTGCTGCAATAAATATATGCATTCATGTGTCTTTATAATAGAATGATTTATCCTCCCTTGAGTATATACTCAGTAATGGGATTGCTGGGTCAAATGGTATTTCTGTCTTTAGCTCTCTGGGGAATGACCACACTGTCTTCCACAATGGGGGAACTAATTTACACTCCCACCAACAGTGTATAAGCATTCCTTTTTCTCCACAACTTCACCAACATGTTATTTGTTTACTTTTTAATAACAGCCATTCTGACTGGTGTGAGATGGTATCTCATTGTGCTTTTGATTTGCATTTTTCTAATGATCAGTGATGTTGAGCTTTTTTTCCTATGATTGTTGGCCACATGTATGTCTTCTTCTGAAAAGTGTCCGTTCATGCCCTTTGCTCACTTTTTTTATGGAGCTGCTTGTTTGTTTCTTGTAAATGTGTTTAAGTTCCTTGTAGATGCTGGATATTAGAGTTTTGTTTTGGATGCATAGTTTGCAATTTTTTTCTCCCATTCTGTAGGTTGTCTATTTACTCTGTGGATAGTTTCTTTTTCTGTGCACAAGCGCTTTAGTTTAATCAGATTGCATTTGCCAATTTTGGTTTTTTTGCGTCTTTGCCATAAAATCTTTGCTCATACCTTTGTCATGCATGGTACTGCCTAGGTTGCCAAGACACTCTTACAGAATAAGGTAAGGGGGCATGGTGGTATAACACCACCAAATCTCAAGGCTTAATGAAATGACTAAGATGGCCTGCTATCTAACACGTTTAGAAAAATGAAGCATTGCAACAAAATAGAGAAATTTTTTTTTATTATACTTTAAGTTTTAGGGTACATGTGCACAACGTGCAGGTTTGTTACATATGTATACATGTGCCATGTTGGTGTGCTGCCCCCATTAACTCGTCATTTAACATTAGGTATATCTCCTAATGCTATCCCTCCCCCCTCCCCCCACCCCACAACAGGCCCCGGTGTGTGATGTTCCCCTTCCTGTGTCCATGTGTTCTCATTGTTCAATTCCCACCTATGAGTGAGAACATGCGGTGTTTGGTTTTTTGTCCTTGCGATAGTTTGCTGAGAATGATGGTTTCCAGCTTCATCCATGTCCCTACAAAGGACATGAACTCATTTTTTATGGCTGCATAGTATTCCATGGTGTATATGTGCCACATTTTCTTAATCCAGTCTAAACTAAAGAGCTTCTGCACAGAAAAAGAAACTACCATCAGGGTGAACAGGCCACCTACAGAATGGGAGAAAATTTTTGCAATCTACTCATCTGACAAAGGGCTAATATCCAGAATCTACAATGAACTCAAACAAATTTACAAGAAAAAAACAAACAGCCCCAACAAAAAGTGGCCGAAGGATATGAACAGGCACTTCTCAAAAGAAGACATTTATGCAGCCAAAAGACACATGAAAAAATGCTCATCATCACTGGCCATCAGAGAAATGCAAATCAAAACCACAATGAGATACCATCTCACACCAGTTAGAATGGCAATCATTAAAAAGTCAGGAAACAACAGGTGCTAGAGGGGATGTGGAGAAATAGGAACACTTTTACCCTGTTGGTGGGACTGTAAACTAGTTTAACCATTGTGGAAGTCAGTGTGGCGATTCCTCAGGGATCTAGAACTAGAAATACCATTTGACCCAGCCATCCCATTACTGGGTATATACCCAAAGGATTATAAATCATGCTGCTATAAAGACACATGCACACGTATGTTTATCGCGGCACTATTCACAATAGCAAAGACTTGGAACCTACCCAAATGTCCAACAAAATAGAGAATTGTTTGTGGCAAATTAACAATAAAAGAATAGACTGCATAGTAAATCCTTCTGCTGTGATAACTGTAGATACATAAAGAGAAAAAAGTTAAATTCTCACTATGTAAAAATTTGGGGAGAAAATCTTTTGACTATTTTAGAATAAGTTTTTAAAGTCAGCAACAAAACAATCATAGAATAAGTTGATAAATTTGATTACTTCAATAACTTCTATACATCAAAAGGTTATCTGTGTGAGACTGAGATACTAGACATTTGCTGAACTCAAGAGAAACATACATACTTGAACAAAGAAACAATATGGAACTATGCATTGTAGTATTGCTTGCAACGATAAAAGACTCAAAACAAAACTCAGTATGTATCAACAGAAGAATGGATATATAAATTACAGGATATTTATATGGTGTGATGGCATATAGTAAATAAATTTTAGCTAAATGTTCAACATGAATAAATGTCAAAAAGGAAATACTGAATGAAAAATCAAGCTGTAGAATGATAACAAATTTCTTAAAAGTATTAAAATATTCTTGAACACATTACACACTAAATTTAAGATATTTCTATGAAGGTGGATGACAGAAAAGTGAGAGTAGGAAATGTTAAATGTTAAAATTTGATAGAGCTGTGATTGGATAAATGGGTGTTAATGTTTTTCTCTGTTTTATCTGCATGTTTGAAAATTTTCCATTAAAAAAAATCCAAGACAGCAAAATTTTACTCCATGCTTAAAATAAGACTAACTGCTTAAACTGTACAGCAAATAAAGTATTCAGCTTGTATTTAAGGACTTTAATGTGTAACATCACTATATACTTAAAAATAAAATGACATTCAGCATGATTAAATGTCCAGAATATGAGACAAACACTGAAACCAAGACTCCACTGTGGTGTTGGTAGATTTAGGTATCTTATCTCAAACTCAATTCAGGGCATATTAATCATTAAATGGGATAGTATTTCATGTTCTGTTTAAAATACTTCACCAAAGAAATATATAGATGGCACATGCATGCATGAAAAAATGTTCAACATCCTTAGTCATCATGAAAATGAAAATTAAATTCACAGTGAGATACCATCGCATACCCACCAGAATAGCTTAAGAAAAGAAATGGCCATACCAAGAGTATTAGGTTGCGGCGAAACTGGAACTCTCATTCTGCCAGAGGGAAGATAAAACGGTGTAATTTTGGAAGGCATTTTCAAACTATCTTAAAAAGTTAAACATGTACTTGCTATATGCCCCAGCCACTCTACTACTAGGTATTCATTCATAAAAAATAAAAGCATATATTCATACGAAGTCATATACATGACTATTTACAGCCTCTTTATTTGTAAAAGCCTCAAACTGGAAACAACCCAAATTTCCATTAACAGGTAAATAGATTTTTTTAAATTGTGGTATAATATGTAATAAAGATACTACTTAGCAATAGAAAGGAATGAACTATTGATACAGTGAACAGCACAATTAAATCCCAAAATCATTACATGGAGTGAAAAAAGTCAAACAGAAAAGGGCACATACTATATGATTTCAACATATAAAATTGTGATGAAAATGAATCTTCAATTACAGAAAGCAGAGAAGTGTTTGTCTATTTTACAGTGGTGAAGAAAGGGATGGATTACAAGTGGGCACAAGAAAACTTGGGGTAGAGATGGAAAAGTCTATTGTTTTGTATTGATGGTTTCATGAATGTATGTGTATGTTAAAACTCATCAAATGGTACACTTTATGGGCAGTTTATACCAATTACACTTCAATAATCCTTTAAAAGTTATAACTTGTTGTTCAATAACTGTGATAAGATATCAATAATAATATTTACCATTTAGTATGCTAACTTTTGCTAGGAATTGTTTTCCGCACTTCTCACTTCACATCCTGTTTCAGTACATGTTTCTCCCATCACCATCCCAACCTCTCTACCTAACCAAAAAACAGTGCCTTGAATACAAGTAGGTTTTATCAGAAGTGATCCTAAGGAACAAGAAATGTAAAGGAGACTGGGAAGAGCCAAAGAGGAGAGAGGAGAAAGCCAATCTAAATGTAATTGCTGTGACTCAGTCTCTCTAGAGATCCCCACAAAGCCTTCGATTGTCCCCCTGCACTCTATGGTGTTTGTATATGCCATATCCATTAACCTGTCTCCCACAGGCCTCCCACACAGTGACATAGCTCTTGACATACCTGATGAAGCTGAAACAAGACCCTTATTAAGCTACACCTCTTTGCAGTCAATGGCTGGGGGCAAATAAATAAATAAATAAATGAGTAGAGAGATGACGTATGGTGCCTAATGGACATCTTAAGAAAATAAGTAGTATTATCACCCCCTTTTTAACAATTACTGAATCATTCATCAGAGACACACAGTAACTTGACAAAAGTTACAAGTTTGCAAGTAGTGAGCTCGATTCCAAGACTGAACCTGATCTTAATAAAGTTAATTCATTTACTATCCACTCCATCCTGGGGCTCAGTTTCCTCACCTGCAAAAATGAATTTCAACTCAATGTTCTCATAAAAATATTTATTTATGTTGGTAAAATGCTGATAACACAGACAAGGCTAAAATCTTTTGTGACCGTCACTCCCAAATTTTACTTCATTCCACAGAGTTAGCCACTACAGTTTGTTAGATACATATGTTTCCAGATCATTTCAAAGCATTTGCCTACATAAATATGTGTGTATACATGCATTAACAGAAGTCTACACACAAATACAAACACACATTCATTTATATAGTTTAGTACTTGGTAATTGTGTATTTAGACATACAAGGTATTAGACAATACTTTGGAAATCATATCCCATAACTATACACATAGTCTCCCATTATTTTTTATTTCATCTCTCATCATTTTTCCTTGATATTCCATGGTGTCACAATATCACATTTTAATTGGTCTTATTGATACTTTTGGGTGTTTTCAATTTTATTGTTTTATAACTGTTATAAATTTTTTCTGTGTACATGTGCAATAATTTTTACAGGACCATAATAAGAAGTAAAAAAGCTGTGTTTGAGTATACATTCCTCATTTAAATGAAATGAATACAACCAAATTACAATTTGCCCTATCCCTGACTCTGCAAATGATAAATAATGTAGTAATGAGACTATGCACATATCACATTTTTGTCTTATTTCAAAATACATCTTAGGGACATTAACTTTATATAGAATTGTATATCTCAGGAGAAAAGTGAATAAAGAAAACATTCCTTCTGTGCAGTACCTTTGATTTCTAAATAAGTATGTGTCTGTTGCTAATGCTAACTCACTTTGAAGTGATAAGAAAAACTAGAAAGTCGGTCTAAATAACAGTAATTCAGCTAACGAATTGCTGTATCACATCACTATCACCCAGGCTGAACTTACAGTCCACTTTAGGTAGCCACGTTTCATTTATGATTGATGACTAACACTCACAGAAGGTGGACTGTCAGCCTAAAAATTATTGGTGTTCTCCAAACAGGCTGCAGTGGAGCAGAAATTACACCTGAAAGCATTACCTAATTATATGTGAAAAGGGGACTATTAATGACTACAAGCAGAATTTGCTCAAATGCCGTGAATTCAAACCTATTTTTGCCCATAGGACAATAATACAATCAAACATTTCTAATATTTTCTCTTCTGCACACCAAAAGAAATTAATATCTTTAGTTACGCTTTTCTCTGTTTACTTGAGTTTATCTTCATTAACCATATATTAAGAGACTATTAGAATAGACTTAAAACCAAGAAGAAATAGAATAAATTATTTTTCAAGTTCTTTCCCCCCATTAATCTACACAGAAATGCATTATTATAATTGTATCTTAATTTTTTATAAAGCCTTCTCTAAATAAAGGATGTACTTTAAGAGTAAAGATTTTTTACTTGGCTTAATTTAGCTAATACAATATCAGTCTGTTTTCCCCAATACATTTTTTGGAATTTGTGACTAAACACGTTTTCTTCATTATTTTGGACACTATAAACAACAGGACCAAAAATGCATTCCTCTTTCAAGATCTTTAGAAAACCTTATCATGTGCATATTGCACATGAGCATCACTTTTATTTTCTACTTACATATTGTATCCTATTGCAAAGTCTGTTATCATTAATATTCTAAATTATCTCCAAATATTACAAATAATTACTGGAATGTAGCTACACTTTATAGTGTGATCAATGGTGTTACTGACCACAATTCTTCATTCTTTTCTGTATCCACACCTTGTTATGTGACTTCGGACTTTCTCCCCTTCACTTTGGAATTAACAATGTGCCTTGCTGTGGCAGACATAAGATAGACATAAAGTATATTGGTTTATGGTTGAAGGCTTCAGAGATTTTATCCATTTCAACATACATTTTTGTGTTTCTGTCAAAGCTATTAGAAGACTATCCATGGAAAGTCCACTGGTCCAATGTGAATGGGAAATACATAAAGCAGACCTGGTTTCAAAGACCTAGACCATGAAACAGTCTCTCTAGCTATTGTAGCCTAGATTAGCTGACCCAGAATCATGTAAGAGAGTTCAGCTGCAATCAAGGGAGACACAATAACCCGTTTTATTAAAAGCCCCTGTTAGCCCTCAGGTGAGTGAACTAAATAAACTGTTAAATTTCATTGATATTTTTGTGATTGTTATACAGCATTATCATGACAGTAGCTAACTGATGCATACATCAATATACAGTCTCTGTTTTAAAAAATATGTGGCTATCAGATTCGTCTGATGTATACAGCTCAAATTTATATTTATAAGAAGGAAAAATTATAAGAATTAGGACATATGCTTTTTTAAAAAAACATTGGATGTGAAAGCGTTAGATTACATAAAAAGAAATGTTTCCCACACTTCCATTTAGAAGAGTTTTTGCCACCCTTCTAATCATTATGCTGTATCTACACTGCCTTCTCATATACACAGGTTGTCATCATCTAAAACAGGTATTGTCAACATAATTTGAATCTGTCTCCTCTTTATTTCTATTGTTGCATCTTCATACAACCATAATTATTGTTTATGTGTGACTCCTAGGAGTCCCCTCCCTGTCACTCTTGCCTCTCTCTAAAGTATTATTAATTAATTTGTTCAAAAACTTTAATAGATCCAAGCAATGCTTTAGAGTCTGATAATAGAACAAAGAAAAAATAATCAAAATACCTAACCTCATAGAGTAAAAACTCTACTGAATAGAGACAGACATTAAATAAGATAAATTAGTAAAACTGAACATGTTAATGAAGGAGGTGTTATAAAGAAAATGAATGGAAGAGTGTTGGCAGGGGTGCAATGCAATTTTAGAAATGGAAGAGAGGGAAGCCCTTCCTAGAAAGACTACAAACATCATTGGAGATACGGGAATAAACTATGTCAACATCTTAGGAAGAGCATCCACAGGTAGTGGGAATAGGGAGTGAATAATCCTTAAGTGGGAGCAAGAACTCAAGGAAAATCATAGAGGTTAATGCATTGAGTGAGAAGTAAATAAGTGTAGTAGTAGGATATGAGATCAAAAGAGTAGCTACGGACAAAACTGTGTAGGGTCCTATAGGACAGTGTATGGGACTTTGGTTTTACTTCTAGTGGCATTAAAAGTCATTAAAGAGTTTTGAGCGAACAAGTGATATAATGTGATTTATATTTTACTAAGAACATTAGCTTTCATATTTTGGGGATACTGAAGGCTAGTGAGTTCATGAGTCGTCATTCAGTCAAGAAAACAACCAGCACATAAGGAACTTAAGGCAAACGGGGTTCAATACTGGGACTCGATTACTAAAAAGTTGGAAAGGATACAAGATCAAAGCTGAGAAGCAGAAGTAACCCAGAGATTTCCACACCTCACCTAGTGCTGAAGGAAGCAAAGGGAAAAGGTGATGTTACCATAGCCTGCAGCATACTTGCTGCTGAAGTTTCTGGCACCGCAGCGAGAACCTCCAAAGGTCACATAGAGCACACAGTTACTTACTACTGCCTATGCTATTACCACTGATGGGCAATTTAGAAGCACTTCCTGCTGTTGAATAAGCCTCCAGAAGCAGAAAGAACACTGGCCTCTTTCCTCTTTCCAACTTCTAATCTCCCAACAGCCCTTCCCAGTGGCTAAATATAAGCAGGAGCCAGCTGGCAAGGGATTTGGGGAAATGCGGTTTCTAAGGGTCGAGTTTCTTTGCACAAAGCAAAACAAGGTTGGGAAAGAACAGACATAAGAGAAAAAGGCAAATGACTGGCACAAGGGGCAGGGGTAGAATAAAAAGTATTGCTTCCTCGTGGTTTCAAGTTTTGTGACATCCTAGAGGATAAACAAGGTAAACCACAAGAAATACATAACTATAAATTCCTATGGTACAAATTGGGTCTAGTGCAATTTGCAGTAATTCCAGATAGCCAATTATGTTAATAGCCATGAGTGTTTAGACCAAAAAGAAGATATATAAACACTAAATCTCAGTATGCATAAATTTTATTAAAGCATATTCTGTCCTAAATACCTCCCCCTAGTAATAAAAACTATTGCAACAATCTAGGAGAAAGATAAGTGTGACTTAGAGGTAGACAGGACACAATAAGAAGTGGTGAGATTATAGACACATAAGTATTTGTATGTATATATTTGTACTTATATATAAATATATAAGTGCAGATTTGATAAAGCAACTGAAGGTAAGAGAAAAGTCAGGTGTCAGATAATGGCACCTAGCATTTTGTCATGACTAACTGTAAAAAAAAAAAAAGGTATCATTAATTGAGATGGGATACATTTCGGGAGTCACAGGTTAAGGAGGAGGGAGAAAAGATAAGGACATCCATTTAGGACACACTAAGGTTGGGATATCTATGAGATATCCACATACAGATGTTGAGTGGGTAATTAGATGCATGAGACTGGAGGTTGTGGAATAGAGGCCTGGCATGGAGATACAAATTTCAGTGTTGTCACCATATAGCTGGCACTTAATGCTATGAGAATGGATAAGACATTTAAAAAAGTGAGGGAACACCACTGAGAGAAGAGGTCCAGTGACTGATCTTGATGTATTATAATATTAATAGGTGGTCAAATGAGGAGGAATTAGCAACAATATATGACAAAAAGTGACAATGTTGTCAGAGAAAAAATTGGAGAGTGATATCCTGGAAAGCAAATGAAGAATACATTTCAATGAGTAGGAGTGATTATCTATCAGATGCAACTGATAGCACAAGCTAAATGAAGACTGAGAATTGACCCTTAGGTATTATCAGCTGCCACCTGGTTACGTTGTTACTTGACCCTAATTTTTGGTGTGTTCACGGAGAGGAGGTAGTGCTAGATGCTCAGGACTGAGAATGTTATTTTTCAAGCATCGGTCTCTGCATTGTCTTCAAGCTAGGGGAAACCCTGGCCTTTACCAGAGAGGAGCAGAGTCTTCTACACGTCCAAAGGATATTGGGAATTCAACGTTCTTCAATGTATCAATGTAGATATCTCCTTATCATTCTCAGTGTCTCCTTACCATTTTCTCTCCCAATCGGAGATATATAATATGGCATGGCAAACGTGTAGGGTCTGAAATCCAACCATCTCTGGAATTTCCCATATAATTACCCATATAATTTAGTCCTGGTCCTCAACTTTTTTTTGCCATGTAACCACAGGAAATGGAAGTCTCATTGTATGTATACTACCAAAGAAATCCTCTTCTCCTATAGTTTACCCTAAATCGGTGAATAATTATTCTAAATTTTTATTGACTTCTAGCACAGCAATAATCTCCAGCAGCCATCATATGATTCCATAGTCTTTACAATAACTACTTCTCATATGCCTGAGATATTACAACAACCAATGCATTCCTGCCCACTAATATCCCATCCCAGTTCACCATCAGTGAAAGTTTTAACAATTACTTGCCACAGCATGTTATGTGATATCCAGATGCCACCTATCACTGGTTATGGAGTCCCCATTACATGGTGATCAGTGGATAATCCACTCCAAAATTTCATTTTAGAGTTAACTACCTCAAACCACTTTGAAAACTATTTCAGATGTAAGAAGTTCCCTGATTAAGAAAGTCAGAGGTGAAATTTATTTTGGGGAGTTCTCAGCATCAACACCTGTGAAAGAATGAGCAAAGCAGGATTAGACTGAGGGAGAAGCACAGCCATGATGCACCGCAATTGTAACCTCTGCCACCACCAAAGGAATTAATAAAGATAGAACAAACCTTCCGAGGTTTCTCTTCTTGGAACCATTGGGGCCAGACCTTTTCAACCCTGCATTGAGCATTCACTGTATGCAATCTGTCTCTAGGGAGTAAGCATACCTTGGAAGAAACAGCTCCCTTAAGCCAAGATTAATAGTTGGAAAGGGGATTAGCTATAAACTATCAACCGACAATACCCCAGTGACTGAGAAATGAATGTCTGTTCTGAGGGAATGAATGAAGGAATCAAGCCACAGCATTGACTAGAAGCTCCTATCCAAACACTATCCTCTTGCTATTCCTCATGTTGCTCTGTTTTCGTTATAGCACATATCAAATCTCCATTATAATTAGTGTATATATTTACTACTCTCATTTATCCTCCAACTGGACTCCAAGTTCTACGATTGCAGGGGCAACTCTCATTACCTTCATCACTATAAAACCAGTGTTTCACACTGAATACGTGTAAACATTTGTTTTAAATTAGTAGCGATTGTGATACCCTCCTTTACACCTGTGTCTGTTTCTCCTAAGCTTATTTGCTGTTGTAAATTCTGTCGCTTACTTATGTGTCACCTATTGTCAACTAAGATAGGACTAAAATATTCTTAAATGTTAATTAATGAATGATTTTACTTGTTACAGATGAGAAATAAAATGACTGTTTCAAGTCTTCGTTGCAGAATTTATCATCCACATGAAGTTATGATCTTGAATGATCTTTTATCACTCTGAACTTCATTTTTATCATCTGTAGGCAGTATATGCTTGAGTACTTGGCTTCAGGCCCAGCCTCAAGATCCTTAACAGAATAATAGGCTTTGATCAATGATTGATATCTATCATTGCCACAAGGCTGAAAGAAAGAAGTGGCATGTTTGCCAGGTATTTACCTTAACTCCTCTAAATCTAACACAAACCATCACCATTTTACTCAATTCATTTTTATGGCTAACTACATATAACTCCCACACAACATATTACTCAAATGAAGAATCACTTTAAAAAACAAGTAAAATGTTATAGATAACCAAAGTCAATAATGTTTATGTGAGCACCTGATTTAGAATCTTACTCTCATAGCATGGCCCATGAAGATCGTTTCATCCATCACTCTTACTTTACACGTGAGAACACTGAGAACTCAAAAGATTAAATAGTTATCCTACGGTTATACATTTATTTAGTAGCAAAACCCAAACTAGAAATATCCTCCCTTTCACTAACCTGGCTCTCTCTAACCAGGAGGCTTCTTTAAATCTCTTGTAGTCTATTTGCAATTTCCATTTTAGTTACGATGATTTTATGGAGACTCTGTCTTAATTTATAGCCTTTTATTTCAATAGAGTAATGGTAAAGAAAACAAAACTATTGTATATATTTGGGAAATGAACTCACAGTTAACCCATAAACCCATATTTTCTACATTACAAATATAAATAAGCAAAGACTGTAGGAAGAGAAATGTTTCAATTAGAAGTCCAAGTATTATCTTTTCTTTTTGCCTTAAGTGTCTCTCTCATTAAAGCATGTATAAATCTTACTTCAAATGCAGTTCTTCACTTCAGTTTCTAAAGAAAGAGACTATGTAAGAATTCTATATGTGCTTAAATTTATGATTCCTCCATGAGGAAAAAATAGACTCTTATATATATTTTTAAAGGTATGAAATAGGACAGCCCCTTAGAATTACTATAACTCTAAAAATAATTAAGAAGGAAAATTAATTGTTACAGATTTTAGAATAAAGTGGAGAAAAAAGGATTAACAGTATCACTCCATACCTCATCTGCAATATGGTTTCTCATATTGTTTAACTGAAGAATTGAGTTCATGTCTTCACTTGATCCAATGATGATTCAATGTGAGAAACAAATTTATTGTTAATGGGATGTGGAGATAACCCTCAGGGGAGTTTAAGCAATGAAACAGCCAACGTTGTCAGACAGTTTTATTGACTTCAAGATATAGAAAAATAATTCAAACAGAGAGGACACAGAATCAGGTGTGACACTTGGTTCAACGAGGTACTGGTGCATCAAACAAGGGGTCAAAACAAAACGATAAGTCAGCATACGCATGTATAAACACTTGTTTTATGGTGTTAGAGTTCCAAAAGTGTTTTGGCTTACCAGTGAGATTTTTTTAACTGTATTGGTATCCGACCATTATTTTCTGATTAATTCTAACAAAAATTATACCCTTCTCGGCGAAACATGTGCTTGCACATAAGTGAATGTGTGTGTGCATGCACAGGCATGTGTAAGACAAATGGGTACTTATCTAGCACTGTCCTCCCTACTTCTAGGATCCACCATTTTTATTGATATGACACGAATCCCAGAGATGTGATACTCAAAATGTTCTTCCTTTTGCTCCATGGCTGCCACCTGGAGCCACCATTAAAGCCAACTATCCTATAAATTTATTCTTAATAGCCTGGGAATCTAAACTAGAAAATAAAGAAGGATTTAAACTAATTCAAGGCCAAGAGTAGAAAAGCAGTGTAAAATCCAACAGGCCTTTACAAAATACCCAGTATTTGCCTAATGCTGTGTGAAGTGCTGTAAATAGAAAGAGGAAAAGGCACAATTATCTACCCTCAAAGAGCTTGCAGCACAGCAAGGAAATATCATAGGCTGTCCTGATGGTGTGCAAGCAGTGTTGATTTAATATATGAAAAGTAGAATGCCATTTAATTTATAACTAGAGGTCCTTGGGGTAGGATAAAGCAAGATGTTTATCCTCCCTAGCATTTATTGACAGTGATAGAACAGACCAGTGGATGTAAAGTAAGCATCTAGCCCTTACAGCTAGTCCTAAAAAGGAACTGGGGCTGTCATGTGCATAACCAGCCCAAAAATTCCAATCCTATCTCCCCTGCCTTTTCAGTCACAAAGAAAGTAAGTTATTCCTACCTTAACTTGTTCTGCAGGTATCTCTTAAACTGATCTTCTGTAATGGTTCTCTTTTAAAATATATTTTTAAACTATATTTAGAATTATGAAGTATTAGGTATTTACTGTACAATGTTTGGACTGTGAACAAAGTAGAATGAAGAAAAAAACACTTATAATTCCAATACTCAGAGAAAACCAATATTGACATATTCAGTTATTCACTTGGTCATTCATTTATATTTTCAACAAATATTACCAAAGGCCGACTATGTGCAATACATAATAGCCTTCTGGATTTTTTTCTTGCATTAACATACATTAAAATATACCTTTCACAGAACTAGGACCATGTTGTGCTCTCTTTTACATAAGTTTGTATTTTCACTCATCAGCATGTGGTCAATATTTTCATTATTACTAAGTATTTTTGCTAGATCTATTTAAAAATTCAAGAGATTTTGTTAGCACACTCCCTAACAGTGTGGACTGTCCAGAATCCCATGCCCACAAGGAATGGCTGTGTCTACCAGCATTACTTTTGATATCAAAAATTTAGAATGACCAGAGCCAAAAACTCCTTTGTGAAATTAGGTGGAACGTCCTTGAGAACAAGGATTAGGACTAAAGGATTGTGTATCATATCTTCTTTTGCCTTTTGCTGTATAACATACAAGATTGAGTGTGTAAAAATTGGTAAATGAGGCTGGGTGCAGTGGCTTATGCCTGTAATCCCAACACTTTCGGAGGCTGGGGTGGGTGGATCACTTGAGGCCAGCCTGGGGCAACATGGTGAAACACTGCCTCTACTGAAAATACAAAAAAAATTAGCTGGGCTTGGCATGCCTGTGATCTCAGCTACTTGGGAGGCTGAAGCACGAGAATCACTTGAACCCAGAAGGTGGAGGGTGCAGTGAGGCATGATTGCACCACTGCACTACAGCATGGGCAACAGAGCAAGCCTCTCTTTCCAAGAAAAAAAAAGAAAAAAGGTAAGTGAATCTCTGAATGACTACCAGTTTGTCGTTGAAATTAATCTTGCTACTACTTCACACTACTCCTATTTTCTTGTATGTATCATGCATTTTGATCACAAGTAACATTGCTTTAATATTACTTAACACTTACCCTGTTCTTTCTCTTCTTTTTTGCCTATCTCCACACAAGACAACATATTCTACATTTCAGCTGATCTCGTTATTTAAAAAGTGACATACTGTCTTCTAACATTCACTTTTCCACTTTGTTATAATCTTCTAATTACCTGTCTCTACCATCCAGTCCTGACCAGATTATAAACTCCACGAGGGCAGGAATCAGGTCCATATTCATTATCACTGCATCTGCAGTGCCTAGTACAATGCCTGGCACATAATAAATGTTTAATAATTAATGAAGGGAGAAAGGAATATATTTTCCAGGTGAGAAGCTGGAAAGTTCTGAACCACGGCGGTAGTGGGGCTAGAAAGCTAAGATGCCATAGGTTTACAAAACATCTCAATGTGGAATTCGGACCCTGTTCACACGGCTCTATCTACACTAAGATACTCCCTCAGCAGCTTCCTTCCTTACCTCCACCTCAAGTATTCTAGCCAATCACATTTGGGAAACTTATTCTTCCCCTAAACAGAGGCCTATACTCGATTTAATTGTAAACAATTTGATTCTATTTCTTTTACTGGATTCCTCTGCTGTGCACACTGTAAACTTTCATTTCTGACCTATTGTCTGCTTTGAAGGAACGAGAGGGATGCCACATTGATGCTCAGTGTCAACGTATGAATGCAGGTTTCTAGCTACGTCATTTTCCACTCTGTTGTTCCCCTTAACTTGGGAAATAGGAGTGATGTGGGGAACAGAGAATAGGCTGTAGTGTCGGTAAGCCCTACATGTGAATCTTGGCTTTACTATTATTCATACATAAGACATGTTTGTCAACTTTTCCTACCCTAGGAATCATCATCTATCAGAATTAAAATAGATAATGTGTGTCTGGTATACAGTAAAAGGCAACTAATATTCACTTTCTGTCCCATGATTACATCAATATCTGGAGCTATTTGCAGTTCTGCCAGGTTTTTTCCCCTCAAAGTTATTATTTGGAATCAGTCCAGTGATCCTATAACTTACTGCTGCCCACACTTCCAACTCAGTAATAGCTTTGTAAAATTGATTCACTACATCCATATGAAATGTTACAAATATTGCAAAAAAAAAAAAAAAAAGGGAGCAAATTACACAAGGCTAATATACCAAAGAAATTGGATGTATTTTAGGAGTGATTACACAGATTTCATATTTACATTATAAATCAAATAAATCAATAATTTTAGAGCACATTCTAATTAAAATTATAACTTTATATTAGTGCCTTTGTTCTATTTTGTAACTGTCAAGAAAAGACCATAATAAATGCCATCATAAATCATAAGAAAAGTTGAAAACGTCTAATCAGTTTTATCATTTCTGTCAATTGTATACTACATTTTTATCATTTTTAAGTGTATATTTTATATCCAAAATGCTTTCAAAATAGGGTTTGTTCATGGTGTCAGATGATAATATATGTAACATGATTTTGACTGTGTTTTCTTTAAGAATATGGAAAATATATGAGTGAATTTGTTTCTGTTACTTTTTATTTGAATGTAAAGTGAAGGCTCATGGATCTAATTGTCATTTAAATATCTTATTAAATACATCTTGAAGTTAGAAAATACACATTTCAAAAGAGAAAAAAACTCAGTAGTTCTGATGGTTAATTTTATGTGCCAATTTAAATGGGCTAAGGAATGCCCAGATAGCTCAGAAAACATCATTTCTGGGTGTGTCTGTGTTTCTGGAAAAGATTAGAATTTGAAGTGGTAGACTGGTGAAAAAAAGAACACCCTCACTAATGTGGGTGGACATCATCCAGTTTGATCCCTTCCCCCTCACTCTGATTCTCAGGCCTTCAAAATAAAATTATACCACAGGTTTTCTTGGTTTTTAGCTTGCAAATGGCAGATTGTAGAACTTCTAGGACTCTATAATCTTGTGAGCCAATTCTTATTACACACACACACGTGCACACACACATACCAGTTCTGTTTCTCTGGAAAAGCTTGACAATACAATGATTTAATGCCAAAAGAACAAAAGAGTTTTTGAGAGTTGAGCTAATAAATTTTTTCCATCTTCTCTAAGATTCTTAAAGGTCATCTAATATACTTTAAACTAGCATAAGACTTTTATGACTGAAAAAGTACTCAACCTTTTAATTTTCTAAAAGGGTGAGCCTTGTTCAGGTGATGCAGCTAATTGATGAATAATAGCATATGTAGACAGAGATAGAGCTATCAATACAAGAATATCATTTCTATTTATATAAAATGGCTGTACCAATCTGAGGGAGAAGCAATAGGCCCATCTAACAAAAAAATCCTTGGTTCCTGATGCATGCAAGCTTGAGTTAACCTTTCTGTGCTTAAAGTCAAACTCTTCCTCATTCTGACCTCATTCTTAATGTACTTCAGAAGTGCTTTCCAAATCTTTCCCCTTCCCAAGCTTTCCCCAAGGTGGAAGTAATTGGGATGCTCTGCGCTTAATTATTGGAGAATCATTTCCTTGTTGGGTTTTTGTTTTTCTATAATGCAGTTTGCACAATGCTGCCCTGGCTGAGCCCTTCCAGCTATCTGACTGCATTCTCCTGGACAGAGTCGTAGCTGCCCTCACTGTTGTGTTTAAAATTCGGCAAATATTTTACTATTTGGTTTGTTTTCTCTCATTTTTATATTTGCTTTTTTTTCTCTCTCTCTCTCCCAGGCTCTGTCTCATGTGCATAGGTTTTTCTGATTAATTACTTTAATTCATGTTAACCTTGGTGCCTGTATTAATCTATTTTCACGCTGTTGATAAAGACATACCTGAGACTGGGCAATTTACAAAAGAAAGATATTTAATGGACTCACAGTTCCACATGGCTGGGGAGGCCTCACAATCACGGCAGAAGGTGAGAGACACAACTCACACGACGGCAGACAAGAGGAGGATGACATTGAGGCGAAAGGCGTTTCCCCTTATAAAACCATCAGATCTCACGAGACTTATTCACTATCACGAGAACAGTATGGAGGAAATCGCCCCATGATTCAATTATCTCTCACCAGGTCCCTCCCACAACACGTGGGAACTATGAGAGCCACAATTCAAGATGAGATTTAGGTGGGGAAACAGCCAAATCACATCAGTGCCTTTCCTCCTCCTACATAATAGGTTTCTCCCCTAAGCGGTATGTCTCCCTCCCTCAATAGCATAATAAATTGTTAGTTATTTTCAAACTCTTCGCTCAAATATTTAATTTGTGCTCCCACCAACAGTTTTTGATAGTACGTGTTTTCCTATATTCTGCTAGAACTACATATTTTCAACCTTTTAAAAATTGTAACAATCTGCCAGGCTCCGTGGCTCACGCCTGTAATCCCAGCACTTTGGGAGGCCCAGGCGGGCGGATCACAGGTCAGGAGATGGAGAGCATCCTGGCTAACATCGTGAAACCCCGTCTCTACTAAAAATACAAAAAATTAGCCGGGCGTGGTCTTGGGCGCCTGTAGTCCCAGCTACTCCTGAGGCTGAGGCAGGAGAATGGCGTGAACCCAGGAGGCGGAGCTTGCAGTGAGCCGAGATCGTGCCACTGCACTCCAGCCTGAGAGATAGCGAGAATCCGTCTCAAAAAAAATTTAAAAAATAAAAATAAAATAAAAAATTTAAAAATTAAATAAAAATTCTAACAATCTGATATGTTAAAAAATAGTATTTCATTGTTTGTTTGACTATAAACAAACTACACTTTAACTTGGATATAATTACTGGGAAGATTTATGTTTTCCACACCTTTTTTATGTATATTGGTTATTTTTACTTTTCTCAAAATTGTTTCCCATTCTCTGCCCTTTTTTCTATTAAATAGTTTATATTTCTTTTCCTACAAATGTTTATGAGCTTGTCATAAATAAATATTGGAAATTAAGCCTTTGTAACTTTAAGAAAAATAATGTCTCTGTGACAAATTTT
Organism: Homo sapiens; assembly: GCF_000001405.40. Lineage (NCBI taxonomy): Eukaryota > Metazoa > Chordata > Mammalia > Primates > Hominidae > Homo > Homo sapiens. Next base: position 31,725,533 of record NC_000009.12, read on the forward strand.
GGTTAGGTTGTGTCCTAGAATGGAGGGTGCCATTTTAAAATGTAGGCTTTTTTTATAAAATAGTTATTTCTTCCTCATCCAGATTTTGAAGAAAAAAATTAAAAAGTTTTTTTTTTCTAATATATTGTTACGATTCTTTTTGTCTATGGTTTTTAGAGTATTTTCTTTTTAACTTCAGGGACTTTAAAAATCCTTACAATGGTTTGTCATTGTCTCCATTATTATTATCTTTGTTTCTAATACCTGTTGTGCCTTATTCTTTATGTTTTTCCTCCCGGAATTCCATGCAGCTATCTCCAGACTTGTCTTTATGAGTAATTTAATGTTCAAATATTGCCACTCTATTCCATGCTCTTTATAATTTTTTCATCTTGTGTGTGTTGTTTTGTTCACTGTCTTCTTCATTTTCTCATCTTCATTTACATTTTATTCCACTCATACACACACAATCTCTCTCTCTTGCATGTGCACATACATAAATAGCTTAAAAGTTTCTATTTTATTTAATTTATGTCCTCATTAAGTTTAATAACATAAAGTAGCTTCAAGGGATTTCCTTTTTTATTAGATTGTTTTGTTGCGATTTCGTTTTGCTTTAAGCCTGGAGCTAATATCTTTTGGAGTTGGCCATTCTTCTGTCTTTGGCTTACATTGCATCTTTTTAAGGTGAGATTTCGCTATAGTACATTCAAGAAGCTTTAATGGACTTTCTGTTTTTTTTTTTCCTTTGCCAATTCTAATACAACTTTACCAGTGATGTTCAAAAATCGTGTCTCAAATAGTTAATTGCAAGTCAGTACAATGATAACATGAAAATATACTTATGATGTTTATGTTTGCTATCAGCTCATGAAAATAAAATACAAAATAAAAATATTCATTCCTGACACCAATATCAAAAGCTGACATGCATTTTAGTTCAATCTTTGTATTCATTTAGGACCCTTGATATAGTTCAATTTTAACCCAGAGAACAGTAGGGGGAATATCTATATTAATGCTGTTATTTATAAAATATGTTGATTCCAGTCTGCAAAACTAAAATTTTTATTGAGGCTTACAGAGAGCATACGGACAATCAGTTTGGTCATTAATCATGGACTATTTTTTCTCTCACCTCAGCATCATTGTGATAAGCTGCCAAGACTGCATATTTCTTAGTGTATACTTTACATTCATGAATCACAGGGGATCAGGAGGTAGGGGGAGTAAATTTTAAGTGAACTGATACTTAAAGAACATAGCTGATCTCCTTTGGAAACTAATTTATTTTATTTCATAGAGCAATGCAGTAAGTATTTTATCTTTCTGGTTAAATAGTGGTACTTATTTTACCAAGCAGTCCTTTGGTCATGGTTAGATATTTAGGCAAATTTTTAAACTATTTCAGAAGGTATAATTTTTTTTCCCACTTACTATGACTAACAGTTCAAAATGTTCTGAAATAATGATTACTGTGTCTATTGGTTTTAATAATCATTAATAATATTTTGGCCATTTAACAATTGAGCCAGTTCCAGGCTGAGTTGAAAAATAAGAAATTGTGTCCTCATTCATTTGATTGCTGGCTATTCTTGCTCTAATTATAAAAAAAATTTAAAGTCCTAGCCTAACTCTGAGGGTAGAAATTATTGTTTTCAATAATTGAGATCATTCTCATTGTAAAACTGAGATCTCAGGCAAATGTGGACATGGTACTGGTACCTATAGCAGCCACAGCTCTTAAAGAATTTTTAGTTGTAACAATTGAGCACATCAGTTTATCAACCACAAGGACTCAAATTTGGTCCTAGGACTAAAGCCAAACCCTTGTCTGGCCCTTTTCTGATTTCTGATTTCTCACTATAACTATAGTAACAAAGCTCAGTGTTGAAAGAAAATTCGGTCTGAAGCTCAACTCCTCAAAATCTCAGTCGAGATCACGCCCAAAGCAACATTTTATTCTTGCCTTAATTTGGAGTTAATTTTTTTTCTGTCAAGCACAAAAAGAAAAACACTAAATATGATTAATCTAAAGAACCACATATTGTTCAATTTATAAAATGTTTACTTTTTTTATAGCTAAACAGAAAGCGAGTTCTAATTTTGACCATTTTTTCCTAATTCTATTGTCCTTTTTTAACTTAAAAAAACTTTCAAGTCATTTTATTTCAGTTATTCTTGTCTCTCCACCTAGGTGATAAGATCCTCAAGGATGAATACAACTTCAAATACCTTTGTTTTCAGTGAGGTGAAATTCACATAAAATACAGTTATCCATTTTAAGTGTACAATTCAGTAGCATTTAGTACATTCACAGGGTTGTGCACCCATCACCTCTATATTATGCTAGTGTCAGCTCTTGCTATGAATTTGAATAGGACTAAAGGGTAATTCTAAAAACTAATTGCAGTTTTTGGTATTAAAAGTAGTGACAAAAACTGCAATGGCTTTTGCACCAACCTATTAACACCCACTCCCGCTCTGACCCTGGAATCTCTGCTGGTCTTTCTCTCATCTCATGCCTTGGCTTTAGTCTTGATAGGGCAGTGTCTAGGCATGGGCTCAGCCTTTGGCTTGGCCATGACCTCAGGCTCTATTTTCTAGTCAGAACCATTACCTGGGTTTGGGTCTTTTTTTTTCCTTTTTTTCTTTTTTTGACTGCTGCTTAAACTTCAATATCCAAGCCTTAGCATCAGTTTGGGACATCAACTTTCTGGCAAACATCTTCGTTTCAGCCAATGGCTAAGTCTGGCATTGGCCTGCCCAGACTTCCATCTGAGTCATTGCCTCTGTCTTGACTGAGCCTGTGCCATTGAGTGTCTGCTTTTATTATCATTATCCATTGGTATCAATTTGATACATGTTTTTGTCTATTATATCCCTTTTCTTTTCATAAAAGGTAGAAACTTACATTGATCTATATTCATTTACACTTCACACAAAATTTTATTTGAAAGAAATATATTACTATGCTTGAAAGTTTAGCTAAGACCAGGCACAATGGCTCATGCCTGTAATCCCAGCACTTTGGGAGTCCAAGGAGGGTGGATCACCTGAGGTCAGGAGTTCGAGACCAGCCTGACCCACATGGAGAAACCCCGTCTCTACTTAAAAAAATACAAAATTAGCTGGGTACGGTGGCACATGCCTGTAATCCCAGCTACTCAGGAGGCTGAAGCAGGAGAATCACTTGAACCTGGGAGGTGGAGGTTGCGGTGAGCCGAGATTGTGCCATTGCACTCCAGCCTGGGCAACAAGAGCAAAACTCCGTCTCAAAAAAAAAAAGAAAAAGTAAAAGAAAAGAAAAGAAACTTTAGCTAAATTACCCCAGCACAATTCGCTGCAACAAAAATATCTATACAAATTGAATATTTTATTTTCTCTGCCAATATAGCTCTAATAGTTAAAATATTCTGGAATGAGTTATCATTCCAACAAGTAAATTAATATACTGTAAGTTTCAATAATTGTTAAATATAAAAATACATCTTTTGATGTAATGTTAATAGGGCTTTCCCTCATTATTTTATGTTTCTATGGAAGAATACTATATATTGCTTGAATAAGACAGGGTTTATTGTTTTCATTTCTGTTTTTCTATTTTTTCCATATAACATAACAATTTATTTATCCTACAAATACGTAGATGGGAATGGAAGTTTTATAACAAGTTCAGATCATTCTTTTAAATTCTTCAATTCTTCAAAATTCTATGACAAAAATCTCATTAAAATGTCATCAAAAAATTTAATAAGAAGTTGATTAAGTTATCCTTTTATTTTTGATGAGACAAAGAATTGGAACCAAGATGAATTACAAAAGGGTCTTTTGCATGAGGATGTTCAATTGTTTCAGCATCATTTACTGAAAAGACTATTCTTTCCCCCATTATGTGGCTTTGGTGCTCATTAAAAATCAGTTGACCATAGGTGTGTGGCTTTATCCTTGAACTTTCAGTTCTATTAAATTGTTGCCTCTGTCTAGCCTGTGGCATTACTAAACTTTTTTTTTCTCATTCAACATGATGTTACCTGTGGATTTGTCATACACGGTCATTATTGTATTGAAGAACATACCTTCTATGCCTAATTTGTTGAGATTTTATCATGAAGGTATGCTTAATTTTGACAAATGTCTTTTCTGTGTCTATTGAAATGGGTTAGATGGTTATTGTTCTTGTGTTAATGTGATGTATCATGTTTCTTGATTTGTGTCTGCTAAACCATCCTGTATCCCTAAGATACATCCCCTTTAATCATAGTAAATCATCTTTTTGCACATTTGTCAATGTGCTGTTGAATTCAGTCTTCTAATATTTTGTTGAGCATTTTTGCATCTATGTTCATTAGAAATATTGTACTGTAGTTTTCCTTTTTTGTTGTGTTCTTGTCTGGTTTTGGAATCAGGGTAATGCCGGGCTTGTAAAATGCGTTTCAATTTTTTGGTATACTTCAAGCCTCTTCAGTTTCTTGTTATACTTTGAGGAAAATTGATATTAGTTCTTCTTAAAATGTTTGGCAGAATTTGTCAGTGAAGCCATCAGGTTCTGGGCTTTTCTTTCATGGAAGACCTTTATTACTTATTCAATTTATTTGCTCCTTATTGGTATGTTTGGATTTTTTATTTCCTCATAGTTTAATTTTGGTAGGTTTTATATGTCCAGGATAATATATATTTCTTCTGTATTATCAGATTTGTTGGTGTATGGTTGTTCATGCTATCTCTTTGTTCAAACTGATCTTTTGTGTTTTTGTGGTATGTTGTAATGTCTCTTTTTTATCTCTGGTTTTATTTGTTTCAGTCTTCTCTTTTCGTAGTCTAGCTAAAGGTTTGTCGATTTTGTTTAACTTTTCAAAGAAACAACTTTTCATTTTGTTGAACCTTTGACTTGCTTTTTTTACTTTCTATTTCATTTCTGTTTTGAAATGGTGGCTGCCACTAGGCTGGCTGTTAAGTTGAGCTCAGGTGCATGTGGTCGCAGCAGGACCAGGCAGCTCTGCATTGGTCTGCCCAGAGAGACAGGGACACCACTAGGCCAGCTGTCCAGACTGGCGTGCCAGCAGGCATACATATGGCATGGCGAGGCAGCTCTGTGGTGGTGTATCAGCGGCCAGGGCTGTCACCTGGCTAGCTTTCAGGCTGGGTGCTGGTACACAGGGACAGAAGGGGCCAGCTGGCTGTGAGGTGCAGGTGCACATGGGTGAGAGGGTGGCCAGCTGTTTGGCAGCTTTCGCATTATGGCATTCCACGTGTCCCTGGAGGGGATGGGGTGCCATGTAGGTTCCAACTGAAAATCTTAGTCTTTTCATCCTGCCTAGGTTCCAGAAAGATAAAATCCTGCTGTTGGAAGCACCTGTGTGAGCAAGGTGAAATGATGGCAGGGCCTCAGGGATACATAGAATCAGTTGCTTCTGGCCCCCAGGCAGGATGTACTCTAGCAGTGAGTTCAATTTCAAGATGGTGCCATGCCATAGCAACTTAGCTGGCAGGGTGGGAGGTGTTCAGAGTGAATGCCTACTCTGGTACCATGCAGCTACATGAACTCCTATCTACTCTCCAAGAATCCTCACAGGATGCAAGGCCTATGATGACTGGGGGAGCCCTTCTGTAGCAAGAACTGCTGGTGCTTGTGGTGACAATGGGACCTGCTGGGGCTCTCTAACTTACCTATTTTCCTGTAAGAACAAGTTCCTTCTGACTTTGGGCTGAACTAGATAGGGAAGACTGTGGCAGAAGTGAATGCCTCACTCTGCTCTTTATAGTGCTATTCTGGGCTTCTGTGCTACACAGGGATTTTGTCACTTTCTTCGTGCTCTGAAGTGTAATTCCTCAGTCACTCCAATGGAAATATAATTGCTTATTTATTGTTTTGGTCTTTTTATTGGGGGAAACAAGCCCCAGGCAACTCTAGGTGACCATCTTGCTGTTGACAATCCAAAGTATCTTTCCTTACAATATTATGCATTTTCTTTGTTTTTCTTATTAATTTCCCTAGCCGGAACTTCCAGCCCATTATTGAATACAAGTGCAAAGAGTAGACATTTGTATCTTGTTTATGCTTTTAGGGAAGAGCTTTCAGCCTTTGAACATTAAGTATGATATTAGCTCTAGGTTTTTCATAGGCGCCCTTTACTAGATTGAGGAAGTGACCTTCCATCCTTAATGTGTTGAGTGTTTTATCATCAAAAAGTGTTGGATTTTGTCAGTTGCTCTTTTGCATCTATTGAGACAATCATGTAATTTTCTTTTCTTTTATTTTTTATTCTGTTAAGAATATATTATATTGCTTGATTTTCATATGTTGAACAAGGCTTACATACTTAGGATAAAACTCGCCTGATCAGCCGGACATGATGGCCCATACCTGTAATCCCAGTACTTCGGGAGGCCAAGGTGGGTGGATCTCTTGAGGCCAGGGGTTCAAGACCAGCCCTGGCGACATATCAAGACCTCGTGTCAATAATAATAATAATAATAATTAGCTAGGCTTGGTGACCATGCCTGTAGTCTCAGCAACTTGGGAGGCTGAGGTGGGAGGATCACTGGAGCCCAGGAATTCGAGGTTCAGTGAGCTATGATTATGCCACTGCACTCCAGATTAAGTGACAGGGTGAGGCCCTATTTCAAAAGAAAAAGAAATAAAAACACCACCAGATCATCTTGTATAATGCATTTCACATGTTACTGGATTTTGTTCGTTAGTATTTTGTTAAGGATTTTTGCATCTATATTCGTAAGGGACGTTAGTCTATAGTTTCTTTTCTTGTGATGGTTTTTCTATCAGAATACTGATGTTATAAATAAATTAGAAAGTTTTTCCTCCTCTTCTATTTTTTGCAAGAGTTTGAGAGGATTTGTGTTAATGTTTCTTTAAACAGAATTTAATAGTGAAGCCATATAGTCCTGCACTTTTCTTTGTGAAGAGTCATTTGCTTAATAACTCATTCTCTTTACTTATTATAGGTTTAGTCAAATGTTCTATTCTTCTTGAGTTAGTTTCATTAGTTTTTATGTCTTTCCAGAAATTTTTCCGTTTCATATAATTTAATTAGTTGGCATAAAATTGTTCATAACATTTCCTTATTATCTCTTTTTCCCTCTGAGGTCTGTAGTAATTATCTCTCTTTTTTTCTCTTTCAGTAATTTTAAACTTCTCTCTTTATTCTTAGTTAATATGTATAGCTAGAAGTTCTTTGGTTTGTTGATCTTTTCAAAAAAAACGTTTGGTCTTGCTGATTCTTTATTTTTTTTCTATTTTATTTATTTATGCTCTAATAGTAATTATTTCCTTTCTTTTGCTGCCTTAGGGTTTAGAGCTTTTCTTTTTCTAGATGTTTTAGGTAGAAGGTTAAGTTATTGGTTTGAGATTTTTCTTTTCTAAGGTAGGTATTTACTACCATAAATTTCCTTTTAAGTATACTTCATCTCCAAATGTAACACTGCATTTTCATCTTTATTCACATTTTATCTTTATTAATAATTTTCCTTATTATTTCTTATTTGACCCATTGGTTATTTAGGAGTCTGTCGTTGTTAATATCCAAATATTTATTAATTTATTAAGATTCTGTTAATAATTTCTAATTTATTTTTATTACGATCAGAAAATGTGCTTTCCAGAATTTCTTGGCTCTTTCCTGAACATGTGCACAGTCCTAGGCATGTAAATGGCTTCCTGGGTGCCCAGAAGTATGTTGGAGATTTAAAAGTAAAAGTCTTATAGATATCTCATTTTCTTTTAAGCTTTCTGGTAAGTCTATTGTTTGCCCCAAATGTTACTCATTGCCTCAGGCAGTGGTAAGTTAAAATACTGGCCAGTGAATGTTTTCTGAGTCTGTTAGCACTGAGCATGTTCTATCAAGTCAAATAAAGACGTGGATTTTGAGTAGAATTTTCCATGAAAGCACGAGGCAGGTCAAATAATGCCATCTTTGTGGAAATGAAGCTTAGAAAGAGCTTTAGCTCAATTATACAACCTCTGGTACTGGGAACGTGGGCATTTTTTTTTTCTCAAGGCTATCCCTGAGCTGTGAAATGGGATGGAACTAGGGTGAGTTAAGGTAGCACAAAACTTGTTTTTACTGTGATTTGGTAATTTTTATTGAATACACACTCTCACACTGCTACAAGCCTTTGATTTATTTCCAGAGTTCTGAACAATATATATTTTTATTTTTTATTTTTTGCCAGCTTTTTCTTTGCTTTTGTGGAGGTTGTGGAGGGGCGAAATTTCTAAGATCCTCATGCTGCCATTTCTGCTGATGCCAATCATTTCCGTTAAGGTTTGGATAAGCCTCGAACCACAAGTGCACTGCAGTCTGAATAGGCATCATAATCCTCCAGGAAACTCTGAACGGCCTTGACACAGGTAGGAGTCATTTGATGACAGCCACTTTTCACCCCCACAAAAGACCACTTTGCCTGAGAGTTCAGAACTAGGAAGGAGTCTCAAGCCTGTGAGGTGAGATGGATGCTAAAATCTTCTCCCTAGAAGATGCCTCAGAATTTTTGTTTCTTTTTATTGGTTCTATACTTTTCATTTCACCTGGAGCTGTGCCCTCCTGGAGCATCTCAACAGTTACATAAGCCACTCCACTTGATCTCTGCTGGACAATTACTTTTAAATCTCACACGTAAATAGGGCTTGCAGTATTATATGTAGAATATAAATAATAAATATTTCTGTGGCTTCTGTGGAAGCTAAAAATCATGATGTAGTGTTTGAATATGACTTTTCTTTGTATTCATCCCAAGGGCCGAATTCTTTTTATTGTTATCAGTATTTACATCTTAAGCTGGCCTCTTTCTCAGCAAGGCTTACATTTATTTAGGCTGCATCTATTTTCCCTTATGCTGTCATTTCCCAAGTAGGCACCTCAGTAAAGATTCAATCAAATAAGGAGATATCTGAGAGAGACAGAGAGAGAGAGAGAGAGAGAGAGAAACAATAATAAATGTCTCCAAATAAGAAGTCATTTATCTAAACTGTTTGAACATCAAATAGCAGGGCTTTTTTTTTTTCCTTTTATCTCACAAGACCACTGTCTGCTACCTAAAATTTAGAAGGAATAAAAACTCTGAACTTAGATTGAGGCTTCCCAAACCACAGAGCCAAACCTCAACTTCAGAAATTCCTGGCAAACTATGTATTAGCTAGTACATGATAAAATGAAACCTCCATCCTTGTTAATTCCTTACGTGCAGAGCTGTTCATATTAAATAATGTCTCTTTTGTTTTTACTCATGCTTTGTTTTTACTTATACTTACGCATTTCTGAACAAACGATAGCAAAGCAAAAAAAACAAAAACAAAAAAAAAACCTTTATTCAGTTCATCCTAATCCCAATAATCAAAACATTACAGACAAATGGACACGTAGGCCAAAGTTTCACTTGGAAAGCCTAACCACAATTAACACGTTAATATGAATGCTACTCTGTGACAGTGGCAGTGACCCCTTGCAGGATACCTTTCTGCATTTCTGCCCCTACTGCCCTGGCCTGGCTATCATTGTTTCTTACTTACTCAATGGAAGTAGCCTCTAAATTGATATCACTGAATTCTCTCCCACCATTCTCTACTTCATTTTTTATTATGCAGCAAGGGGAAACTTTTAAAACTATACATCTGATCATGTCACCTTCCTGCTTGAAACCCTTCAGAAGATCCTCATTGTTCTTAGTACAAAGATCTAACAAGGACATGAATAATCTACCCCAGCTTTGTTCACCAGCTTGATTTTATGCCACTCTCCTTGTATTTTCTAACAGCCAGCCTCATATTCCCATTTCAGCCTCATATGTCTTATTCTCATAACACATGCATATATTTCCCACCACCGAGCATTCAATTATGCCCTTTCTTCTGCTCAGAGCAGGTTCCTTCTATGAGTAATTAATTCTAACTAAACCTCCAGAGTCCGTTTGAAGTACCATTTCCTCAAGGCAGCCTTCACTGCCTGCATAATCTAGATCAAAATTTTGTCCATTTTAGCAATAGCACAATTGTAAATAACTGATTGTGTGAGTTGTTATTAGTATCTGTTTCTCAAAAAAAAAATAAGTTCCACAAATTCTGGGACTTCATCTTGGTCATTACTGTATTCCTACTTCCCAGCACAGAGAAGTACTCAATCTCAGTATCTATATGAATGGAATTTACAAATAAAATTTATAATGAGTACAATTTATAAATGAAATAAAAGCGGGAGTACATAAAATGTTTTCACATAGATTATCATATTTAATTCTAACAGAAAACTCTATAGTAAATAACAATATTATCATCTTACAGAGAAGAAAAGGAGAAAACTGAGTCCTCTGCTGTATTATGAGAGTAAGTATATGCCTGTCTTTCTTGGTGAGACCAATGGTTCACTCTGCACAATTTCTCCAATAGTATCAAGAATTGTTTTGTTAATAAATATGATTGTCAACCACTAAGATAAGTAATACACTTGAATAAACTTATTTTTCTTAGTAATGTGACCTAGATTTATCATAATTTATTGATCTTGGCCCATTTTTAAATAAATCACATATTTATTTAGTCATATAATTTCTTGGGCCTTAGATCTAGTCCTATTGACTTAAAAGACAACTTCCTTTTAGTTATCTTAAAACATAATCTTATTTCATAACTGAAATAAATGTAATTGAAATAGTCATTTAATTTTTATTGTTTCTATGTTCAATGGAATACTTCTGTTAATTTAATAGCTTAAAATTGTTCATATGTAATAGAAATTATTTATGCATGTATACATGAGCATATAGGCCGAACTACTTCAGGTGAGAAATCAGGGTGGATTTGTTATGGGGCTATGTGTTTGATTGAGTGTGTGTGTGTGTATGTGTGTTTATGTACAAATTTTTTTTTCAATCTAAATGTCATCTTTAAGCATTTATTCTATTTCCTTTACTTCCCTAGAGGGATTAAGACAATTTCTCCTTTGGTACCTCTATCAACATGCCTTAAGTAAAGCTTCAGCATGTTAAGTCATGAAATTCTTTCAGTTTGCTCTAAAGTCTGTAAAAGAGGCAATTCTGAAGCTTCAAATGCTTAAACCCTTAATGTAAGATTTGACATTTAGAAAGTAGGTCAAGTGCCCTAGTACTGTTTTGGCATACATCAATCTATTATTTAGAAACAATTTTAGCCACTAGGCATCACAAATGAGCCTTAAGTCTATTTCTAATACTCCCTGTATGTTTTTCTACTTAAGGGGCTAGGGCTTTAAATAATATTGAGCATGGAAGGAATTTTAAAAGCTTAGTCCTTAGCCTCTTTTCAAGACTTTTAACAAATTCTTTTGTAAGTTCTGTTAGTATTGCAAAGAGGGGGAAATAGAAATCAGAATTAGAGTCCTGTTTCTACCTAATTGTGTTGACATTTGACATGTTAGTAGGCTCCTTTGTGAGTTAATTTCTACATCAAAAAGAAGCTAATTACCCAAGGATTTGAAAGGGAAATAGTGCCCCTATGACCACCCAAATTACAATGATCATCACAGTATGCAAGCCATTTCAAAGATTCAAAACCTAGTTCTGAATTCATTGAACTATCAAAGTGGGATAAATAGTCCTAGGTAACTTACATAAGATCAGGGAAGATTGTATATCCTCTCTCGTAACTTATATACAGCCATCCCCCTACCACTACTTCTGGCTCATCTTCTCCCAAATGCAGTTTTTTTCTTCTCTTACTCAATATTTTCTCAGTCAGTCCTGTTCTTTGAGGTAATTAATTTAGATCTGTAATACTATTACTTTTCCTATAGACACCAGTCTATTATGTTTTTCTGAGATCCCTTTCTAAGACTGTTTTCCATTTGGGCTATAATCCCTGAATCACAGGATTTTTTCCATGCTTGCTTTACCTTTTTAAATAGATTGTTCATTTTATGTAATAATTAAAGACTTTATGCAGTTGTATCTAAAACATATAAAATAAGAGAGTACATGGCTCTCTTAAAATTTGAGATCAGGCGTATATGGAGATTGAAAAAAAAACTGAAGAAAAACCTCTTCTCGGAAAAGATGTAGTAAAAATTAAATCAACATAATCATGTTATTGGAAACAATGAGAGATTCACGTCCTCTTAAATTTTCTTTTTGCCTTTTATATCTTTTTCTTGCATTATTGCACTAGATAGCACCTACAGCAAAATACTGAATGGAAGTGTTTATAGTGAATATCTTTGCCTTATTCAAGCATGATTTGTGCATGAGAAATCCAAAGAAATCTTAAAACAATCTATTGCAATAACAGAATTTAACAAATTTGTAATATACAAAGTCAAAATACAAAAAGCAATTGTATTTGTGTTCCCAAGCAATGTAAACTTAAAAAAAAAAAGAAGATTAAAAATAATGTTTTTTTCAGTAAGCATCATTGGCCAGGTATGGTGGCTCACACCTGTAATTCCACCACTTTGGGAAGCCAAGACAGGAGGATTTCATGAGCGTGGGAGTTTGAGACTAGCCTGGAAAATATAGCAAGACCCCATCTCTATAAAAAATTAAAAAATTAGCCAGGCATGGTGGTGTGCATCTGTAGTCCCAGCTACTCAGGTGGCTGAAGTGCAAGGATCCCTAGAACTTGGGAGGTTGAGGCTGCAGTGAGCCATGATCACGCCATTGTACTCCAGCCTGGGCAACAGAGACTGTTCCAAAAACTAAAAAATAAAAATATACTTGTACACCAATGTACATCCTTATGTATAATTTACACACGTTCCTGCCATGAAATGCTAATCAGCTATAAAATGAACAATTATTGATTCATACACCAACATGAATGAATGTAGGAAACATTAGATGATGCAAAAGCAATCACACAGTGAATGAAACTATATATCCCAATGCTCTTAAATCCAAATATAGGCAACCTAGTCTATTATGATAGTGTTTGATGGAAACAGGAAGCACAAGGAGTTGAGAAAAGTTATAGAATTAAATATTTTGCAGGGATGAAAATTGTCTATGAATCACTTTCTGCAATTGTTGCAAATGACAAAGGTTCATACAATTGTCAAAACTCATCAAAGTGAACACTTAATATCTGTACATTTATCTAAGTAATAGTTTTTATTTCAGTAAAACAAGATTAAATAGTAAATTCTATAGAGCATCCAGCACAGGTACTGGAACAGAGAGCGTTTAAACAAGAAAAAAAAAATAGAGCTTTATCTTTTTCTTTGAAGACTCTAAAACCCAGCTGGGCACCGTGGCTCACACCTGTAATCCCAGCACTTTGGGAGGCCGAGGCACGCAGATTGTTTGAGCTTGGGATATCGAGATCAGCCTGCGCAACATGGTAAAACACTGTCTCTACAAAAAATACAAAAATTATGCTTGATGGTGCATGTCTGTAGTCCCAGCTACTTGTGAGGTGAGGTGGGAGGATCCCTTGAACTGAGGTGGAAAAAAAAAACTGTAAAAGCCGTATGATAAGTTAAATCTGTACTTTATCATATACAGATAAAGTAGTTTTAGAGAATGCAGCACTTGGTCAAACAAAATCCATAAGCAAATTCGATTGCTTTATATCATAACCCAGAGAAGTGTTAAAACCTGGTGGCACCACTGTATTTTTTTAAGAGAATGATCATTCTGAAAAAATCACTTTTTATTACCCTAAGGAACATTCTCAAATAACTCCAATTTTATATTTAATGTCCACTTTTATATTTAATGAGCAATATCTATTTGTAAGCACACGTCTTGAATAAACAATTTTGGTTCTTATGGGCGTTTAGACTACTGTTGCATTAAGAGGATGGCTATAAGATACTGTGACTTATAGTAGTCATTGTCAGAATATGCCTTTTCAAGCCCTCATACAAATAATAAGCTTCATTATAACATATTTTAGAGTGTTTTATGCATATAATTAGCAAGTTAACCTCATGAACAAAGGGTTAGTCATAATAATTGTGCCTGCAATGAATTTGCAAAGTGCTTTCTAGATGTAAGCACTTATTGCTATTCTAAGCCTATGGGAAGATAAATGTGAAAAGTAGAAGATTCAAGCATTTATAGGGAAATCTCAGAGGAAAGTCCAACTGTGTGCCATTAGAAAATCTTTAGTGGATGATACTGGAGCTTCTTCCAAATCCTCTCACAGCCCTCTCTCATTTTTGTGTAAACTCCTACCCCTGTCCAGTCTTAATGTATTTCTCTTTCTCATCATAATTCCCAGTAGTGGTTTGATATCCTATGAAACATTTATACCTTTGCCGATTAAAATATTTCCCCAAATTAAGTAGTTATGCCCCCTTTCCTCTTGATGGTTAGCTATTTTTTTAAATAAATATTTTCATGGTTATACGCATTCCTCCCATTTTAAGTAATTTTTTTATGCGCTGTGTGAGGGGGTGTGTGTGTTTGCATCTACCCTTTTACCGAGTGCCTGACATTTAGCTCAGTATCTGTCACTGGCAGGAAGTCAGTAAACACTTGCTGATCTAGGCTGTGTCCCCAGGTGATTTACCTCATCTCTCTGTGTTTAAGGCTGGCAATGACAAGGACCCTAAAAAGTGACATAAATAGATCCTTAGGCTCTTATGTTTGCCTTCCTCTTTTTCCGTGTGGATTATTTGCTTATAACAATTGTAAACTTTCCCCTTTTTTCTCATATACATTATTTTCTAGTTCCCTTTGCATGAGATTGTCACACAGTGTTATCAAAATTTGTCATTGACATATACTTCATTTTTATGTTCTTGCCTAGTTGTACCTTTAAGTAACATTAAAAATGCCACAGAAGGCCAGGTGTGGTGGCTCACGCCTGTAGTCCCAGCACTTTGGGAGGCCAAGGTGGGTGGATCACGAGGTCAGGAGATCGAGACCATCCTGGCTAACATGGTGAAACCCTGTCTCTACTAAAAATACAAAAAAATTAGCTGGGCGTGGTGGCGGGCACCTGTAGTCCCAGCTACTCAGGAGCCTGAGGCAGGAGAATGGCGTGAACCCGGGAGACGGAGCTTGCAGTGAGCCGAGATCGCACCACTGCAGTCCAGCCTGGGCAACAGAGCGAGACTCCGTCTCAAAAAAAAAAAAAAAAAAAAAAAAAAGCCATAGAAAACTTCTGTTGAAATGCTAATTGGTACAGTATGCAAACTGGAAGTTAACTTGGACAGAATACCTATTTTCACAATACGTTGTGGAAACAGTTTACAACAAAATACATATGCCAGCTATCTTTTATTCTCCATATATTTTTAACCTCAGGGAGAAGAAGCTGAATTAAACATAATCCTGTCTTCATCATGTGCTCTTGTCATTGGTGTAATCAAGGCTCAGTTCTTACTTCGTTTCTATTCTATTCATAATAAGTTTCTCCTCCACTCTCCTGCATGGATATCCACTCTCATGTATAAAATATGTGTCCTTCAGCATGTCTCAATTTTGCAGTTTCTTTATATGACTCATCCAGATTGCTTATTTCCTATTCCCCCAAATATTATCTTTTTATTATGCTATGAGTAGTATTTCCTTATCAATTACAAAATTAGGTAGTTGTTGCTGGGATGCAGGATCTCCATTGTGTTTTAATTATTTTTTATTATCCAGCCCCTTTAGTGAAATTTTCTCATTATATCTAATAGTTTTGAGATGACAACTCAGGGTTTCTCAGGTATGTGATCATAGAATCTACAAAGCATTACTTTTTTTACTTGGTAATATTGTTTGTATTCTTACTGTTACATCAACAAAGATTTCTACAATCACAAAACAATTATAACAATTCCTATACTGTTATTTAATTTCAAAGTGATATATTGAATACAGTGACATTTGATAATAACTAATGGTTTAGGATAAAATCCTTTTCTAGCTTTGTCAATTTTAAAATATGTCATAGGGATGCTTCTGAATTTCAGCCAAGATCTTAACTATTTCTTATACAAATATCATTATTTCCATTCAAATTAATTAGATATTAATTTTAAACCACACAATGCTTATTTACGTTCCCAATTTTTCTGTTAGAGTAGATTGGCTTATAATATAATGGTCACTTAAAATTAGCACATTTGTAAATTCCCTTAGATTTTCAATTGAAACATGAAACAACAGAAAAACAACATCCTCATTTCAACTTTCAAAGATATTACCATCCACTGAAGTAAGAGCCACACACACAAAAAATGATTCCACAACAGTTTTGTGGAATCCAACACCAACTTAAGATATTGACCAGATTGTGTATGCAATTGTTTGGAAGGTGTAACTTCAGCAAGATTGCAAGCATCTTGATTAGCTATTGCAATTTTCCAGGAAGCTGATATTGTCCTCCTGTGATATAATTGTGAATATTCAAGTCTATTAGGTGCTGATGGAATCATCTTCTGCATATGCAAAGACAGGTTCAAAAACAAGGGGTTATTATTCATTATTAATTATAATAATTTATTAAATGTCTATTGTAAGTTCTGGAAAAGGGTAAAGCTTGACTCTACATTCCATGAATGTTAACCTACAGTATGGTTTATCATACCTACAGAATGGGATCTCACCATTTAGACATGAGGATATCAGGAAAAACTGCTTTTAAATCTTGTGATGTTGCTTAACACTGGTCCTCACTGTTAGTGGTAGTACTTAATATCTGTAGTGGGCCTCATAATTATCACCTTTTTTTGAATTTGAATTTTTGTAATATGCTTCCCCCAAAAAATAGGATAGAATCATAATACAACTTGCCTAACAGTGTACCACATATCTAAAATCAGTTTTTAAAAATGATTACTATTTTTTGTAGATAAATTTTTTATCTTGGCCTGAGAATAGTTTTCCTCCTATTTTAGTCACATAGTCAAACTACCGTATAATAAGATTTTTCTCATGTATTCAAGATCTACAGATTAACAAAACTCATCTCTCCTTTAACAAAAAAATGAAGCTTTACAGAAGGTTGTTTGCGTAATTAAACACAATGTAGATTATTTTAAAATCTCTCATCAGATAATGTTGTCCTCCAAATGTTTTATTTCAGAATATGTAATTTTGAGAATACAATGAAAATTGTGTGACTTGTATCACTAGCCATCTCTAGCAGGAGATATTCTATTTCAAAAAAAGTGATTATTTTAATTTTTTTCTGGAGTACATCCATGGCCAAGTTTAGCATGCCCTGCACCAGTTAGAATTTTGAAATAGATTAACTGATGTTAGTTGAAAAAAATTAACTTCTATCATATATGCTTAGTGAGAGCTCCCCTTATCACAAAGTATCCTCCTTTTTCATTACAATAGACAAGAGAAATAGAAGGAGTGGAAGCTAAGAATTAGAAATTGTTTCTTGCTTTTAATTATTGCTTTGTATTTTCTTGGGAAAAAAAAGTGGTAGATTAGTAAGCACTAAACCTCACTGCCATGCACTCAGTAGTGCTGAGAGAAATATGATAAAAGAGGCAATCTGCTCATAGGACAGGACTGCAGCAATTGCTATTTGGCTTATTTTTTCAGGGGACCCTGCTCAGCCAAACTCTGATCCAAAGGAAGCCACCGCCGTCATATCCACATCTAGCCATACTTCGTTTGAAAGCTTCCCGGGCTCTGTGAGTGCTGGCTTTTGGGACCTATTTTTGAGGGGAAAGAATATGGTCATTGCTTCCTTCTGGATACACTGAACCCTCGATAAAGGACTTGGAGGTGGCTTGTGTGACTTTTACTGCTGAAGTAAATAGGCTTTGTTTTAAGCCTGGTACCTAATCAATCCAGAACTTAGCTGTGTTTATATGCCACAGGGAAGTCAAAGCCAATGCATCTTGGAACTGACTGAAAGTAAATGACCACTGTGTAGCTCCCTGTATTAATGCATAAGGCCCTCTAGACTGAAATATACCATGCAAAACATGGCATACAGAAAGACATCTTGAATATTTCCTGTGACTAGTCAAGACCCTATCAAGGAGGTGATCAGTATCATCTGCACTCTAACTGAATCTTGCATTTATACCCTAACTGAAACTTGCATCCTTTTGTACACTGTTTCTCCTCTATCTTTCTAGTTGGAACATATCCCTTAATACACAGATTTAGGGTTTATCCTCAACAGTGTCATTAGCTGACTGTCTAATGGAATCAACCTCTTTCTCTATCTTTATATGAAATTATTTATTTATTTGGATTTCCTCATTATCAGAAACATACCCATGCAATTATTTAAAGACTTGATTTTGTCCTAAATTAGGTAAAATAGGATAATGAAATGTGTATCCATATGTAATAATCAAATAGAGAACCCAAACCTATTTGTATCCATAATTTAAACAGAATAAGTAAGGTAACTGCATTAGTTTCCAAATGCTGCTATAACAAATTTCTAAAAACTTAATGGCTTAAAACAGCACAAATTTATTATGTTACAGTTCTGAAAGTAAGGAGTCTAAAATGAGTTTGCAAGGCTGCATTCTTTCTGGAGGCTCTAAGGAATAACCTGTGTTCCTGCCTTTTCCGGCTTTTAGAGGCTACTCACATTTCTTAGCTTATGGATCTTTCCTCATATCACTCAGATCTCTGCTTCTATCATCACCTCTCTTACTCAAACACCGACCCTCCTTCCTCTCTCTTATAAGGATGCTTGTGATTATGTTGGGCTTACCTAAACAATACAGATAATCTCCACATCTCAAAATACTTAACATTATCACACCTAAAAAGTCCCTTCTACTGAGGTTATATATTCACAGGTTTCTGGGACTGGGATATGAACACCTTCAGAGCTATATTCTGCCTACTACAATAAGCAATACCCAAGCTAGTATTTTATTTTGTGCCCGAGGAACTGTATTTTCACATCTCATTTCAGCTATGCTTGGTCATTCTACATCTTTATCATCCAAGGTGCAGATGAAATAAGAGTGTTTTGCTCTGTGGAATAGTAGAAAGTGCATTGGCTTTGGAGTCAGAAAGCCCTATTTTCACACTCTGGCTTTTCCATTGAGCCAACTGTATGGCCATGAACAAGACATTTAACTTCTCTGATCCCTGACCCTTTGAATGTAGTGTGGTCCTCAATAAATGGTAGTTGCTTTAACAAAATAATAATTATTGTCAAATTTCAAACCCCAGGCTCCCAGCTTTATACCCATTGTCTTTATTCCTTCAATGAGGGAGTCCCTTCTCTCGTCATATTTCCAGAAATACTGTCAATATTCCTATCATGCTTTTCCCAAGTAAGGAATGTGAACTCAAACCACTTTGTAAGTGTTGGATCACACACTTCGGGCCATGCCTTTCATCCTGGCAGGAAGGCAGTGTGCATGCTATCCTGCCAGGCTCACTTGCTATCCAGCCCAGTTCCTAATACTCATGAACCTTCCCATGCTCTCCAACTCTTAGACGGAGAGAGCATTTTTATCTTTAACTCATATGAATAATGCTGGCAAAATAATTGCAGGTGAACAGTTATTCCAATTAACAGTGTTTTAAAGTCTATATTCTAAGAAGAGGATTTACTAGATTATAAACTTAATATTGCTCAGAAATAACATTTCATACACTTTAACGGTTTTTCTGCAAACTATCCCCTAAATTATTACCCTCCCTACAAAATAGAATATTAATACATGTTAGACCACTTTACTAGCATTAAAGTGTTATTATTGTTATTAATTCATTGTAAAAAATGTTTTCAATGTAGTATTGTACCCTGTGGCTATTTGTATTTTCTATCTGGCAATTATCTCCTTGTCTTTATTTTTCTAGTGGAGTGTTTATAATTTTTCTTATAGATTAATAGGAGCTATTTACATAGTATTAGGCATTGACTGCATTGAAGGCCCAATTCTTTGCCCTCCCTGTTTCCAGGGAACTGTCTTTCTGCCATGTAACTTTGCAGTACCCTCCTACTCAGGAAAATATGTTATTCTCACTCCTTAACATGGTGATCAATTATGTGACCTATGTTGACAAATGGCATGCTAGCAAATGTGATACAGGCAGATACTTGAAAACGCTTCTGCATTTCTATTGGTTTTCATTTCTCTGCCATTGCCGTGAGTATTTATCTTTGATAGCCTCCTGGATGAAAGACACGTGAATACAACTGAATCATTCCCTATCATCCCAACCAAGTCTATCCTGTATTAAGTGACAGCCAGCCGGCTCTTAGTCTTGGGAGAGAGCCCAGACAAGATCAGTAGAGCTGCCTCACTACCCCTCAGTTGACCACAGGCACATAAATGAGTCCAGAGGAGGTCAGCTAAATCCCACGGACCTGTGAGCTAAATAAAATGTTATTGCTTTTTGCCACTAAGATTTTGTGGGTGGTTGTTATGCAACATTATTGCAGCAAAAGCAACTGATGTATCTATAAGGATATTCGGCACATTCACACCCAGCCCTTTCCCAGTTTGTCACTAACCTCTTAAGTATATTTACATATTTTTAAATATATAGGCTTATACATTTTCATATCAACTTGTGGTGAAATAAGAAATATATTTGGTGTTTGTCCCCAGTTCCTGGCACAGAGCTGTTAAAACCATTGGAACTTCCTAAGGGATAAGGTTGATAGGAATGTCTTTTGTTCTAGTAAAGGAACTCTTGGCAGGCCCCTAGATAGCTTCAGGATGAGGGCTAGTTGCCAGAAAGACCAAGCCTTAATTAGAAGCTTGGAATTTTCAGTCCTACCCCCCTCCCTACCACCCACCCCTCCATGCCAACCTTTGGGGAAGAGAGAGAGAGATGGAGAGTTAGTTAATAAACAATCAAGCTTACATAATGAAATCTCAATTAAAAACTAAAAAACTAAAAATAAAAATAAAAACTAAATGATGGAGTTCTGAGAGCTTCCTAATTGGGGAACACTTTCACATGCCAGGAGGGTAGTACACCTCAACCCCATGAGTGACAGAAGGTCCCACCATTAGGACATTTCTGAACTTCATCCTATCTACCTCTTCACCTGACAGTTATTTTTATCCTTTATAATAAACCAGTGGACCTAAGTAAATGGCTTCCTGAGTTCTGTGAGCCATTCTAACAAATTGCAAAACCTGAGGAGGAAGCCATGGGGACCCCCAATTTATAGCCAGTCAATTAGAAGTAAAAATTTGCATCTGAAGTGAGGTTGTGAGATTGAGCTCTTAAACCTGTGGAGTCTGACATTAAACCTGAGCAGTTAGTCAGTTTAAATTGAATTGTAGGATACCAAGTCAGTGTCATAGAATTGGAGAAGTGGATTTTGAAAAGAGAATTGGAAAAGATATGACACATTTTGTGTTAGGAGGAAAAAACCCTCTCAATCCATGTTCAGAAATCTCTAGCTATAGCTACATTATAGCAGCAACTAAAAGTGACACCAACAAACTTGATATATATGACAGCTCTCTGGATTATCTCAACAAAGCAAATATTGGCAATGCAGCTCCAGGCTAGGTAGAGGTCACCACAGAGATAGATGGGCTCTAAAGAGACCCCAAAGAAGTCAGGCTCCTGCCCCTTGCAGGCTGATATTTGTTCTAAACATGGAGTCTCCATATAGAGCTCTCTGTTCTCAGCTCAGTTTAGTCATTCAATGCATGACAACTTTTGAAAATTTAAATGAATAAAGAAGAGACTCATATATTCTTGCTTTTGTGAATAATTTCAAGGTTTCTTCTTTCTTAATATATTCATGTAATAAGATAAAATAATTCAAGGATTATATTCTAGTTGGCAAAGAAACCTTACAGATGATGACAAATACAAACATTATACCGATGTGTACAGATATGTCAATATAGAGATAGACACAAATGTATATAGATATATACAAATGTATACAGATGTACACATATGTATGTACATACAGGCACATAAAGGCAAAATACAGACATATACAGATATGTCAACTAACAGTTATTACCAAGAAGGTGACTGTGAAGTATGGGGTCAGGGCCAAGGTATTAGTCAGATCAGAGTTAGTAGCGGTTCACAGAAGGAATTTGTTTATATATATTAAAAAGTGGGCAAATAAATAAATGTATTATGGATTAAATATTTATTTAAAGATCCTTTTTTTAAAGAAGGCAAAAAATTACCAATAAAGGCAATCTTTCATGTCAAGAGCTGAGCTAAGCTGGAGACAGCTGAGCTATGAGGTATTAGGGCTGTCAATTAAAACAACAAGCCAAAATGAAAGTACTAGTTGTCCACCAAAAAAGTTAGAACTAATAAATGAATTCAGTAAAGTTCAGGATACAAAATCAACATAAAATAATTAGTAGTGTTTTCATACAGTAATAAAAAGCTTTCTGAAAAAGGGACCTAGAAACAATCTCATTTACAATAACATCAAAAAATCTTAGGAATAAATTTAACCAAGGAGTTAAAAAACCTGTGCATTGAAAACTAGAAAAACACTGACAAAAGAAGCTAAAAGGGACACAAATAACTGGAAAGATATTTTGTGTTCATGAAATGGAAGAATTAATATTGTTAAAATGCATATACTTCTCAAAGCAATCTATAGAGTCAACAAAATTCTTATTGAAATTTGAAAGTAATTTCTCACAGAAATAGAAAAAACTATCCTAACATTCATAAAAACCCAAGAAAGACCCAGAAAAGCCAAAGCTATCTAGAACAAAAAGAATAAAATTGTAGGCATCAAAACCAAACACTGCATGTTCTCACTCATAGGTGGGAATTGAACAATGAGAACACATGGACACAGGAAGGGGAACATCACACACCAGGGCCTGTAGTGGGGTCGGGGCAGGGGGGAGGGATAGCATTTGGAGATATACCTAATGTTAAATGATGAAGGTGCAGCACACCAACATGGCACATGTATACATATGTAACTAATCTGCACGTTGTGCACATGTACCCTAAAACTTAAAGTATAATAATAAAAAAAAAAATTGTAGGCATCATATTACCTGACTTCAAAATCTACTACAAAGCTTTGCAATAGAAGCATCATGGTACTGGCATAAAAGAGAGATATTGACTAAATAGAACAGAATAGAGAGCTCAGAAATAAATCTGCACATTTACAGCCAAATGCCAAAAATAGACAATAAGGAAAGGACACTTTTTTTAATAAATGATGTCAGGAAAACTAGATATTCACATAATTGAGATTAGAGCCTTATCTCACACCATGTACCAAAATCAATCCAAAATGAATTAAAGACTTAAATGTAAGACCCAAAACTATAAAAATACTAGAAGAAAACTTAGGGAAAACTCTCCTGAACATTGTTCTGGGAAATATTTTTTTATATGATCCCCAAAACAAATGGATTTGACAGGCAACAAAACTAAGAAGAAACAAATGGGATTTCATCAAGCTAAAAAGTCCCAGGCACGGTGGCTTACACCTGTAATCCCAGCACTTTGGGAGGCCGAGGCTGGTGGATCACGAGGTCAGGAGTTCGAGACCAGCCTAACCAACATGGTGAAACCCCATCTCTACTAAAAAATACAATACTACTTCTTGGTATATATCCAAAAGAAATGAAATTAGTATCTCAGAGAGATAGCTGCACTCCTATGTTCATTATAGCATTATTTACAATAGCCAAGATAAAGAATAAACCAAAGTGTTCTTCAATGGAAAATTTTCAAATGAAAATGTCACACACACAAACACACACATTCACACTCACACGCATAGAAACATTATTCCACCTTTTAGAAAAGGAAATCCTGCCATTTGCAAAAATGTGGATGAACTTGGAAGACATTATGCTAAGTCAAATAATCCAGGCACAGAAAAACAAATACTACGTAATCTCACTTATTGTGAAAACTAAAAAAGTCAAACATGGAAGCAGAGAGTAGAATGATGGTTGCTAAGGGCTGAGGGTGGAGGAGAGGGAGAAATAGAGAGATGTTGGTCAAAGGGTACAAAGTATTAGTTTGGCAGAATAAATAAGTTCTGAAGATCTAAAGTAGCCTCATGATTAGAGTTAATACTGTATTGTATACTTGAAATTTGCTTAAATGTTCTCTCCACACGCCCACACAAAATGACATGTGAGGTGATGGATATGTCAATTGGTTTCATTGTGATAATCATTTTACAATGTATGTATACATTTTAAAAGACTTAAAGTATAATAATAATAATAATAATAATAATAATTAAAACAAAAACTACTAGAAAAAAAAAAGCTGGAGGGAAAATCAAACACAAAGGTAACAGTTAAGTCTTTAATCACTTGCTGTGATTAAACACTCTTGTGTATAAGCAAGACACTAACCTGAAGAATGCACTGGCTCTCTGCTGTTCTATTTTTCCCCCATGTAAAAGTGCAGATAAGAGTAAGCTGAATTAGTGCAGATGAAGGGAAATCTGAGTTCCTCGCTCACAATTAAAGACTTTTTTTTTATTACTATACTTTAAGTTTTAGGGTACATGTGCACAATGTGCAGGTTAGTTACATATGTATACATGTGCCATGCTGGTGTGTTGCACCCACTAACTCATCATTTAGCATTAGGTATATCTCCTAATGCTATCCCTCCCCCATCCCCACCCCACAACAGTCCCCAGAGTGTGATGTTCCCCTTCCTGTGTCCATGTGTTCTCATTGTTCAATTCCCATCTATGAGTGAGAACATGTGGTGTTTGGTTTTTTGTCCTTGCGATAGTTTACTGAGAATGATGATTTCCAATTTCATCCACGTCCCTACAAAGGACATGAACTCATCATTTTTTATGGCTGCATAGTATTCCATGGTGTATATGTGCCACATTTTCTTAATCCAGTCTATCATTGTTGGACATTTGGGTTGGTTCCAAGTCTTTGCTATTGTGAATAGTGCCGCAATAAACATACGTGTGCATGTGTCTTTATAGGAGCATGATTTATAGTCCTTTGGGTATATACCCAGTAATGGGATGGCTGGGTCAAATGGTATTTCTAGTTCTAGATCCCTGAGGAATCGCCACACTGACTTCCACAATGGTTGAACTAGTTTACAGTCCCACCAACAGTACAAAAGTGTTCCTATTTCTCCACATCCTCTCCAGCACCTGTTGTTTCCTGACTTATTAATGATTGCCATTCTAACTGGTGTGAGATGGTATCTCATTGTGGTTTTGATCTGCATTTCTCTGATGGCCAGTGATGATGAGCATTTTTTCATGTGTCTTTTGGCTGCATAAATATCTTCTTTTGAGAAGTGTCTGTTCATATCCTTTGCCCACTTTTTGATGGGGTTGTTTTTTTCTTGTAAATTGGTTTGAGTTCATTGTAGATTCTGGATATTAGCCCTTTGTCAGATGAGTAGGTTGTGAAAATTGTCTCCCATTTTGTGGGTTGCCTGTTCACTCTGATGGTAGTTTATTTTGCTGTGCAGAAGCTCTTTAGTTTAATTAGATCCTACTTGTCAATTCTGCTTTTGTTGCCATTGCTTTTGGTGTTTTAGACATGAAGTCCTTGCCCATGCCTGTGTCCTGAATGGTAATGCCTAAGTTTTCTTCTAGGGTTTTTATGGTTTTAGGTCTAACGTTTAAGTCTTTAATCCATCTTGAATTAATTTTTGTATAAGGTGTAAGGAAGGGATCCAGTTTCAGCTTTCTACATATGGCTAGCCAGTTTTCCTAGCACCATTTATTAAATAGGGAATCCTTTCCCCATCGCTTGTTTTTCTCAGGTTTGCCAAAGATCAGATAGTTGTAGATATGTGGCGTTATTTCTGAGGGCTCTGTTCTGTTCCATTGATCTATATCTCTGCTCTGGTACCAGTACCATGCTGTTTTGGTTACTGTAGCCTTGTAGTATAGTTTGAAGTCAGGTAGCGTGATGCCTCCAGCTTTGTTCTTTTGGCTTAGGATTGACTTGGCGATGCGGACTCTTTTTTCGTTCCATATGAACTTTAATTGTTTCAGATATGAAGTTTACTTCCGGGGGATATAGTAATAATCTCTAAAATCCAAATGTTTTATAAGACACTTTTATAAAAATAACAGTTCAAAAGAAACATTTGCAAAATAATTATTAGTTCTTATACAAATCTTCAGATTAAAAAGAAGACAATAAATACTTTTGTTGAAATCATTGATTTGTCTCTTAATTTAAACTAACTTTATAGAAAACAAAAATATCAGCTATGTAGGAGCACTAACATTTTATTCCCATTAATCAGCAGAGTTTCTTTCACCAAGAGTACAAGGGACTATAATTTTAAGACTAGGTGTTGGAATTTCATTAGAGAGACAAAACAAACATAAAGAGAAAATATATAGGGAAAGAGTAAAATGTGATTATAAACAAATGCAATATGTGCATATAATATTTTACAACTATTTTTTGAAGGCTACCTAATCTGTCTAATTGATATATCAGGTGATTCATATGAGCGTTCAACACTATTCTAATTCTTAGTCACCTGTATGCTGGTTGGAGCTATGGCACAGTATACTGATATCCTTAGCTATTTGGGTATACTGATATCCTTAGCTATTAAGTATGCACAAAGCCTGAAGCAGCTGGAGCTTCATGTTCCATAATCCAGGTAACAAACTCCAGACATAGTCTTTAGTTCCTTGGATGACAGGTGAGCAGAACAGGGTCTGACCATTTCTCTACATTACCAACTAGTAGTGAACATGCTGTGCCATACCTACTGCTCACCATTCTCCATGAATCAATGTGTCGTCAAAGGTTAGGATCCCCTGCACAACTATTTCAAGAACAGTGTTGATGACCATAGTGTGTGATAGAGGCCAGGAGAAATTTTTGGTGAATTCATAATTGGACAGTGACCCAGAAATCCTGTCTTCACATATAGCACATACTTCTGTCTATTTGAGGTCAATATGGTAATTTAATGAGATCTAGACCAGCACAGAATGGTATTTCCACAATGCTTGCAAGTGTAAAACATTAGTGCTCCATCTTTTTTTTTTTTTTTATTTGAGACAGAGTCTTGCTCTTGTCGCCTAGACTGGAGTACAGTGGTGCGAATCTTGGCTCACTGCAACCTCTACCACTTAGGTTCAAGTGATTCTGTTTCAGCTTCTCGAGTAGCTGGGACTACAGGTGCCTAACACCATGCCTGACTCATTTGTGTGTGTGTGTATTTTCATATTTTTAGTAGAGACAGGGTTTCACCATGTTGGCCAGGTTGGTCTCAGATTCCTGACCTCAAGTGATCCACCCGCCTCGGCCTCCCAAAATGCTCGGATTACAGGAGTGAGCCACAGTGCCCAGCCTCCATCTTTTTTTTTTTTTTTTGAATACTTGATATGAATATTTCAATGAATTTAAAAACTACTGACATCATCATAGGAAATTCCAGCTTTGCCAGTTTGATTTTTAAAACATATGTTTTAATATAAAATAAAGGTCTAAAATAAAAGTGTTACAACACTTTTAAAAATGTTTTAATATATTCATTGAAGTAAAAACTGTTTTGAAAAATGTTTTACTATACTCAGGAAATATACCTAGGACTGTATGTTTCAGAATAGCTGGACCATGCTTGGTTGGTCTAGGCTAATCAGGGTAATTTTATCTCCTTATCAGTAATTGGTTGGGAATGGGTATGTGAAGCCAAGTTTGGTATATACCACATCCTGGGTTGGCAGAATAAAATGTCATTCTCAAAGGCATAAAGAATTCAGGTTCTATTATGTCCTCATTAAATTAGTGTGCTTCATTAAAAAGAAAAAAGAAAGAAAGAAAACAAATCAGCTATGGTAGATAGTGATGGACCACCATAACTTTAACCAAGCAATAGCCCCAATCCTAGTTTATGTCCTGCATCTGATATCTTTTCTAGAACAGATCAGTGCAGTGCCTGGCACTCGCTAGGCAGTTATGGGCCTAATGAATGCCTTCTTTAATCTCCAGTAGGAAGGAAGATCAGAAACAGCCTAACACCAAAAGAAACCCACCTAATAAAATCTTAGTTTATTTGGTGCTTTCCAGAATCTACTGTTACAAATATTTTTGCTATTTGACCTTCATTAACACTTTCAAAATATTACATTCTCTTCAAATTTCAAAAATAAATTTATATTCTTTGGCTTCTTCTTCGCCCTCTCTGTTTCCCTCCCCCTCCTTCTTCTTGAGTTTCTATATTTTAGATGATAATCAAGGTAGACATGATATTGTTCAACAGTATATTGTTCTCCTCTTAGCCAGATTTCCCAGTTTCTAGAGGTTGGCTCTTCTCAGGCTACTTGTCATTGAGCATGTCCACGTGATTAGTTGAATCTAATGAAATGTGAATTTTATATATACCACTTCCAGGCTGAGGCAGTGATAAAACTATGTGGTATTGTTCAGTCTCTCTGTCCCCATGCTCAACAACCTAGAAAATCTTATATTGATGTAATAGAAGTATGAAATTTGAACACCTAGAATCACTGAGATGCTACACAGAGGAGAGTTGTCCTGGATTGTTGTAAGAACTTGCAGTGAAATTTGAACATGAAATAACTTTTTGTTGAATTAAGCCTCTGAAACTTTTAGTTATTTGCTGACCAAAGCATAACCTGGCATTACTCAGATTATATAAGTCTCTATTACTTAGTTTACAATAGCAAAAATGCTCAAGCATCTTTGCAATTTTTAATACCCAAATATTTTCTTTTTTCTTTCTGAAGAGTTTTTCATCTCACAATAACTATGTTGGGAAAATATAATTTTTTGTGACTCTTCTCCATGACAAATTATAAATTAAAAAATGTATGCTTTATATATCATCCTTTATAAAATGTTTCTTTGCTAATACAAGTTCATAAGGATTGAAAGAGCTTGCTTTAGTTTTCCCCAGCATGGGACTTAACTCAAGCAAGCCTCAGTTGTTGGGGTTGTGGTTCCTCAAAGAGATGAATGAATGAAGAAGAGAAGGAAACATAAAGTAAGTAGTGGCAGGGCTAATGAGTCAAATCAAAATGTAGGGCTAGTCTTCACTGAAATAAATTGATATGCCAATAGTAAATTTGGGATTTATATGGGCCACAGTTAGTTTGTAGGGTAATAATCTTATTTGGTAGGATGGTTTAGTAGCAACCATCTCTAAGTGTGGATGAAGCTTGAAACCGAATGTATAATCCTGTAGTTTCAGGCTGTCAGCAGGTTTGGAAAATTGTCAGCCAGGAACTAACAATGTAGAGAGAAAGGGGCAGTCCTTGTAAAGGAGATGCAAGGGACAGCCAGTGTTCAAGCATAACAAAGTAATAGAAAAAAGAAGTGACTATGAAAATATAATCCATGTTCTAGTCTTTCCCCACTCAGGTAGCCATAGTGATCTTTCCAAAATGCAAAACTTATCATGTTGCTCAACTGCTTAGGTTCAATATTGTTTCATTTATCTTTATGCAGTTTGCTTAATTGTTTTTGTTTTTACTTCTTCTTGCTGGAGTGTTTTAAAGTAAATCAAACATACATGTCACACATTAACACTTCAGTATGCATCTCTTATTAATATACATTTACTTTTATGGTTAATAGTCATCAACTTTCTGCCATTCTTTTTATCAGCTAAGATCCTCCCATCTTGTTTTTCAGTTTGAGCATTCCAATAAGCCTACTGGA
This sequence comes from Homo sapiens, assembly GCF_000001405.40. Taxonomy (NCBI): domain Eukaryota; kingdom Metazoa; phylum Chordata; class Mammalia; order Primates; family Hominidae; genus Homo; species Homo sapiens. The sequence goes on from NC_000009.12 coordinate 31,755,016, forward strand.
AAAAAGGCAGGATAGTCTTATATACACATGGTATACATAATGTCTAATATGATTTCTGTCATGTAATTGTTGCTTAATAATTATAATGATGATTTTTTAAAAACCAAGTATTTCAAGCTGGGGAACAATAATATAGATTATATCAGAATCTAGCTATCTATTCCTCCTATCATTCTTAGGCTGGATTTCAACCTTTTGCATTAGTGTTCTACCTTGGTGAAAATTTGTACTCATCATCATTTGGTATATAAGAAAAATTGAAATAGAGTATGGGCCTCTAAAATTATATTTTAACTTGAGTATGTAGAGGTTCTCAGCCCTTCTCAATGTCGTCAATGAAGTAGATTGAGATTTAATTGTATATTTAGGTCTAAATGAGGATCATTCATCCCTTACTCAGGAGCAATCATTCTAGATCTGAGTGTACTTACTGAGGGAAAACAAAAGATGAAAATTTATAACATATCAAACAGGACATCAACAATTTAGCTATATCTTAAATTTATCTTCTCTAAGCATCTCTGGTTCAACAAATCCCTGAGCAAAATCCTGGGATTGCCCCTCAGACTGGAGAAAGGAGGCAAATAGTAGACACATTTGTTTATAGCATAAGCCAGGATCAGATAGCGATTATATTGGGCAGAAATATTTCCTTCAGTTTCATCATTCAAGGAGGATAGTAATTCTTCAAATCTACAAATAAATAAAAAGTTTGAAATAAGTAAAGCATGTGGTATAGGCTTTTAGATATCACCATTGTTTAAAGTTTTCCTGCAGATATGTTCTGATCTTTGTCAATACATTCATATATATTAATTCTATAGATGTAGACACATAGTTCAGAGCAGAGTCTATTCAAATTTTTAAAAGGAAATTACTCAATCCCTCTAAATGATTGACACATTGACTTACCGGGAAATTTATTAAAAATCTATCCTGGTTTATTTCTTGGAAAATTGTAGTTCTAAAATATTCTCCATGAGGAGCTAATGAGATTTAGGCAAAATTATTCTACAAATAGCCATGGTGAAAAAAAATCTGATTTTGTAGTCAGAAACCAGTTAATGAGCAATCTGTATAAGTCTTAAAATGCCATCTTTTAGCTGATATTCTCACATAATTCATATCAATATTTAAGACATATCAAAATTGTGATTACTGTTTAAAAAAGATTCTCATGGTGTATAAATCATAATTTAATTTGGTAAAAACATATTTTTTTCACTCACCCAACCCCTTCCTTTTAACTTGTTTCTTACTATTTAATGAGCTAGATGTACACCACCTGTTATTTGATCATTATATCAAGCCTGTGTTCAGCCTGGAAAGCAGAACCATACCAGGGAATTTAATTCAGCAAACTAGTCACAGAGTTTTCAGAAAAGCCAAAAACAGGGAAAGATGAGCTACCCAGATATAATTCATCTGCAGGAAGCTGCTGTTTGTACTCCTAAAACTGGAGGTAGAGAAGGAGAAGGAAATGATTATACCAGAGTCCAGAAGCCAGGCTCACCAGGGGGAACGAAAACCCCAGTGAAGGAGATTCCCAGGAGACCACCAGATGAGCCACATAGAAGAGACCACCAGGTGGGAGCTGGAACTCTGTGGAAGGACCATAGGCAGGGGTTAGACCCATAGTATGGGCTTCTAAGTGTGACTGAGACCATAAAGGAAGGAACAGGTGACAAGAAGGAGCTGTCTAAAAAGAACTAGAATTATAAAGGTAGAGTTACTGCTGAAGATTACATCTGAAGCAGCAAGAGGGGCAGAGAAAGAACTCAGTTGGCCTTCCCACACTCCAGTCTTCTGCCACTTACGCAGGCAGAATCTAAACAGAAGTCAATCAGGCAGGGAACCTGAAAGACACAGGTTTACTTCCTGCTATAGAGAGAAGAACCAGGAGGGGAAGTACACACAAAAGTAAATAGGCAAATGGCTAGAACAATGATGCAAAGAAGAAAAAAGTAGGTATTAACCTTTAAGAAAATGTCCAGTCTTAAGCAATTGTTTCTCTGTCATTTATTTCCTACTGCCAAGTGGAAGTGATTTCTAATCTGCATTGGCAGTATAAATATTTATTGATCTCGGTGTTAGAGATCAGTCCATAACAGCTCTGAGAAGCATTTAAGCTCCTTTAATAACAATTCACTTAAGCCACTTTCATGTACTGGGGCAATGACCATTCCAGCCTAACATCTCAGGTAATCTCCTTATTATATGTGGACCATAACAATATCCTCTACTCTGTTCTAATTGTAAAAAAATATATACATGTGACCATTATCACCAAAATTAATGATGACATCTAAATTTTCTCTAACATGGCTCCGAACAACTGTGAGCAATCAGGAGGCTGAGTTTGTGCCTCTTTTAAAGGGAAATGAGTATTAGAGATGTTAAGTACTTTCATTCAAGTCAAATAATGAATAGCAAGTAGTAAGACAGGAAATAAAATCCAAGACTTGTAAAGGAAAGTATTTTGGTATTCCTTCTGTACCACTAAGTTTCCAATACATAATTAACTCTAGTCACATACAAACTTCAAGAGCCAGAAGTTGGTTCGCAAAAGTAATTGAATAAGTCACAATTATTGGGTAAATGATTTCTGTAACAATATGAATAAGCGTGTACTATCAGAAGCAATTTGGACTTTTCAGAAACTACTGGATGTTTTTTTTTTCTTTTTGTTTTCTTCTGGCCCTAGGCTTTCTTGCATTGGTTCACTTGCTCTTTTAGGGATTATCAATTCGAGAGATATAATTCAAGTTGGTGAATTTTCTATCCCCATCCACCAACTCCCATAGTTAGATTGTGGGCTCTTTGAGAACAGGAACTCTTTTTTATTTCTTTTATTGCAACAAAAAATTGCACATATTTATGGTATAGATATGAATGTGGTATTTTGATACATGCATATGGTGTGCAAGGATCAAATCAGAGTATTTATTTATCACCTCAAATATTTATTATTCTTTTGTTTTGGAATATGTCAGATCTTCTCTTCTAATTGTATATTTGAAGTATACAATTAATTATTGTTAACTATATCCTGCTACTACGCTATTGAACAGTAGAATTCATTCCTTCTATCTAGCTCTATGTTTGTATCCATTAGACAACTTCATTCTCCCCCACCCAAAGCTTCCCAGCTATGATAACTATTATTCTACTCTCTATCTCCATGATATCAGCTTTCTTTTTAGCCCCCACATATGAACAGGAACATGTAATATTTGCCTTTCTATGCTGGGCCTATTTTACTTACAATAGTGATTTCCATTTCCATCTAAGTTGCAGCAGATTAAAGGATTTCACTCTTTTTATGACTAAACAATATTCCATTGTGTATATATGCCATATTTTCTTCATTCATCCATTCATGGATGCTTATGTTGATTCCAAATCTTTGCTATTGTGAACAGTTCTGCAATAAATGTGGGGGAACAGGTATCTCTTTAATATACGGATTACTTTACTTTGGATAAATACCCAGTAGTGAAATTGCTGGATTGGATTTTTTAGTTTTTTGAGAAACCTGCATACTATTTTCCATAATGGCTATACTAATTTACATTTCCATGAATGATGTGTAAGAGTTCCTTTTTCTTCACATCCTCACCAATATTTGTTATTTAGTTGTTTTTAATTTTTTGTAATAGCCATTCTAACCAGAGTGAGATGATATTTCATTGTGGTTTTGATTTGCATTTCTCTAATTATTAGTGATGTTGAGTAATTGTTTCACGTATTTCTTGGCCATTTGTGTCTTCTTTTGAGAAATGTCTATACAGTTCTTTTGCCCACTTTCAATGGATTTTTTTTTCTGTTGAGCTGTTTGAGTTCCTTGTGTATTATTGCAAGATAAATAATTTGTAAATCGTTTCTTCCCATTCTCTAGGTTGTGTCTTCATTTTATTCATTGTTTCCTTTGATGTATAGAAGATTTTTATTTTAAAATAGTGATTTTTGTTTACTTTTGCTTTTGTTGCTTATACTTTTTTTTTTGAGACGGAGATAAAGTCTTAATCATAAAATCTTTTCCCTAGATCAATGTTCTGAAGCATTCCTCCTATTTTTTTTTTAATAATTTTACAATATCAGGTCTTACGTTTAGGTCTTTTTTTTCTGTTTCAATTGATTCATGTTTATGGTGAAAGGGGTCCAGTTTCATGCTTCTGCATATGGATATTCAGTATTCCCAGCATTATTTATTGAATGGGGTGTCATTTCACCAATGTACATGCTTGGTGCTTTGTTGAAAATCAATTGGCTCTAATATGTGAATTTAATTATGGGTTCTCTATTCTGTTACATTGTCTATATGTCTATATTGTCTGTATGTCTATATGTCTGTTTTTATGCCAATACCGTGCTGTTTTGATTACTACTCATATTACTTTGATTATTCAGGGTCTTTTGTAGTTCCATGTGCATTTTAGAATGTTCTATTTCTTTGAAAAATGCCATTGATATTTTGATCAGTGGTTGCACTGAGTCTGTAGATTGCTTTGGACAGTATCATCATTTTAACAATATTAATTATTCAGATCTATTAGCCTGTAATATATTTACATTTATTTGTGTTCTCTTCAATTTCTTTAATCGGCATCTTATAGTTTTCATTGTAAAAGTCTTTCACCTTCTTGATAATCTTATTTCTAAGAATTTGTTGTAGCTATTGGCTATTGTAAATAAGATTGCCTTCTTGATTTCATTTTTAGCTAGTTTGCTATTGTATAGAAATACTACCAATTTGTATATGTTGATTTTGTATAATGCAACCTTACTGAATTTATTTATCAGTTCTAAGAGTTTTTTGCCGGAGTCTTTAGGTTTTTCTATATATAAGATCATGTCGCCACAAAGAGGAACAATTTGACTTCCTCTTTTCCAATTTGGATGTCTTTTTTTTTCTCTTGACCGATTCTACTGGCAGAACTTACAGTATTATCTTAAATAAGAATGGTACAAGTGGGCATCTTTGCCTTATTCCAGTTTTTAGAGGAAACATTTTCAGCTTTTCCCAATTCAGTATGGGCATGTGCTATATGGACTTCATTATGTTGAGACATACTCTTTCTATAACTAATTTGTTGAGAATTTTTATTATAAACAGATTTTGAATTTTATCATATGCTTTTTTTCTGGTTTATAAAAATTATATACTTTTTGTGCTTCATTTCGTTGATGTGACGAGTTACATTTGTTGATTTGCCTATGTTGAACCATTCTTCCATCACTGGGGTAAATCTTACTTGATCATTATATTTTATTTTTTGATGTATTGTTGGTTTCAGTTTTCTGGTTTCTTTTTTTTTTTTTTTTTTTTTTTTGGAATTTTCTGTCTACGTTCATCAGGTATATTGGCCTGTAGTTTTCTTTCTTTATTGTGGCTTTGATTTGGGTGTCAGGGTAATGCTGACATCATAGAATAAATTAGAAAAAATTCCCACCTCCTCAATTTTTTGATATCAATTTTTTAAAATGGGTGTTAATTTTTCTTTACAAGTTTGGGAGAAATCAGCAATAAAGCCACCTGATCCTGGGCTTTTCTTGTTGGAAGTCTTTTTAACAATGATTCAATCTCATCATTCACTATTGGTCTGTTTAGGTTTTCTATTTCTTCCTAGTTCAACCTTGGTAAGTTGCATATGTCTAGCAATTTATCTGTTTCCTCACAGGTTTCCAACTTGTTAGCCTATAGTTGTTCATAATTGTCGCTATTGAGTCTGTATTTCTGTGGTATCAGTTGTAATGTTTCCTTTTCATTTCTGATTTTATTCATTTGGGTCTTCTGTCTAGCTAGCAGTTTATCCATTTTGTTTATCTTTTTAAAAACCAACTTTTGTTTTGTTGATATTTTGTATATTTTTAGTGTCTATTTCATTTAGTTCTGCTCTGATTTTTATTATTTCTTTTAGTCTATTAATTTGTTTTTGGTTTATTCTTGCTTTTCCAGTTCTTTGAGATTCATTAGGTTGTTTATTTGAAATCTTTCTACTTTTTTATGTAGTTGTTTATTGCTATACACTTCCTTCTTTGCACTGTTTTTGCTGTATCCCATAGTTTCAGTATGTTGTATTTTCTTTTCCATTAGTTTCAAGAAATTATTTTATTTTCTTCTTAATTTCTGTATTGACTTAATAGTTGTTTGGGAGCATGTTGTTTAATTTCCAAATAGTTGTACAGTTTCCAAAATTCCTCTTGTTATTGATATCTGTTTTTATTCAATTGTGGTCTCAGAAGATACTTAATATAATTTCAATATTTTTAAATTTGTTGAGACTTGTTATGTGGCCTAATATATGATATCTCCTGGGGAATGCTCTACGTGCTGATGAGAAGAATGTGGATTCTGAAACTGTTGGATGTAATTTCTGTAAATGTCTGTTAGGTACCTGTAATCTTGTCACATTCATTACCTTAAAATTGTCTTAATTGTACAGATTTAGTCCAATGTACAGATTAACTTCAATTTTTTAATTAGTTTTCTGTATAGTTGATCTATCCAGTGCTGAAGGTGGGGTGTTGAAGTCCTTAACTATTATTCTATTGGGGTCTATCTCTGTTTTTACTTCTATTAATATTTTTACTATGTATCTGGGCACTCCAATATTAATGTGTATATATACTTACAGTTGTTATAACTTCTTGGTCAATTGATCTCTATGATTATACAATGATCATCTTTGTCTCTATTTTTTTTACTTCAAGTCTATATTGTGTATATAAGCATAGCTACTCTTGCATGCTTTTTGTTTACATTTACATGGAATATATTTTTCCATCTCTTTCAGTCTGTGTGTGTCTTTATAGGTGAAGTAAATTTGTTGTAGGCAGCATATAGTTGGATCTTGTTTTATTTTTCACTTTTTAATCCATTCAGCCAGTCTGTTGTCTTTTAATTGGGGAATTTAATTTATTTACATTCAAGGTTGTTAATGATAGGTGGCGACTTATTTCTATCATTTTGTTATTTATTATTTATTTTCTGATTTGTTTTGTATATCCTTTGTTTCTTTCTTCTTCTGTTGTTTATCATCTAAAACAAAAAGTATCTGAGACAGGTCTTAATCAATTTAGAAATTTACTTTGCTGAGATTACGTACTCAGACAAAAGGATAACAAATCCACAGGAACAATCTGTGCTCCATACTTTTTTTTCAAAGATTTTGAAGCCTTCAATATTTAAAGGGGAAAGCAGGCTACAATAGAAAGAGGGAGGGTATGCACACATTACTGAACCCACCTGTTTGTTGCAAGAGAAGAGGAACAGGTAGAGGAATAGTCAATTATTTATTTAGCTAGCACTCAGTAAATTGGCACTTCACATAAGATAAGGTAAACATAGAGTGTCTATCTGTGAATATATTTAACATTTTATCTATAGATATCGGCTTGAAAACAAAATGACATGCAGTTTCTGGCAGGACTTAGCTTTCAGCTTAATTTTTTCCATTTGGTATAGTGAATTGAGGTCCCAAGATTTAATATTCCTTTCACAACCTTTATGATTTGATGGTTATTTTGTAGTGATAATGTCTGGCTTCTTTCTCTTTCTCATTTTTGTATCTGCTTTACTAATAAGTTTTATACTTTTGTGTGTTCTCATCATGGTGAGGTACCATTTCACTTCCAGATGTAGGATGCCCTTAAGCATTTCTTGTAAAATTGGTCTAATAGTGATGAACTAATGTAATTTTTGCTTACCTGGAAAAGGCTTTACTTCTACTTCATTTTTAAAGAATAGCTTTGCTGAGTAGAGTATGCTTGAGTGACAGATTTTTTTGTTTGTTTTATTCAGCCCTTTGAATATATCATTCCATTTTCTTATGGCCTGTAAGTTTTCAACTGAGAAATCCACTATTAGTCAGATGGAGATTCCCTTATATATGACCTAATGCATTTCTTTGTTTTTAGATTCTCTCTTTGTGTTTAACTTTTGAAATTCTGACTATAATATGTCATAGAAAAAAACATTTTGGAGCTGAATATGTTTGAGGATCTTTGAACTCCTTGTATATGAATTTCTATATCATTTTTAAGACTTGGAAAGTTTTCAGCTATTAGTTTATTAAATAGGTGTCTATGCCTTTGCCCATCTCTTCTTGAACTTCCAAAAGTCAATATTTTGTCACTATTTTATACTCCATATATCATGCAAGCTTTTATTATTCTTTCATATTCTTTTGTTTAGTTTGACTTGGTTCTTTTGAAAGACTTGTCTTCAATTTTACAAATTCATACTTCTGCTCAATCTATTCTATTGTTGAATCTCTTGATTATATTTTATTTCATTTTTAAATTTGTTCATTTACTGGATTTCTAGATTTTTTTATGGTATCAATTTCTGTGTTGAATTTCTCATTTAGATCTTAAATGGATTACTTCTAGTGTTGTTTGCCTGTATTCTCTTGTATCTCACTGAGTTTCTCTGTATTAGTCTGTTCTCATGCTGCTAATAAAGACACACTCAAGACTGGGAAAATTATAAAGGAAAGAGGTTTAATTGACTCACAGTTGCACATGGCTGGGGAGGCTTCACAATTATGGCAAGCAAATGAGAAGCAAAGTCACATCTTACATGGTGGCAGGTAAGAGAGTGTGTGCAGGAATCTCCCTTTTATAAAACCATCAGATCTCATGAGACTTACTCACTATCACAAGAACAGCATGGGAGAAAGACCAGCCCCCATAATTCAATTACCTCCGATTCGGTCTCACCCACAACATGTGGGGATTATGGGAACTACAGTTCAAGATGAGATTTGGGTGGGAACACAAGAACAGCACAAGAAAGACCCACCCCCATTATTCAATTACCTCCTACTTCCACAGGCACTGGCAGTGGTGGATCCTGGCAAGCCAGTCCTTAGGCCTCCAGACAGTGTCCTTAGTTCCCTCTGGTGGCAGTGGTGGGACAGATGAGCAGGCCTTTGAGCCACATGTTCCATGTGTGGTGTTGACAGTGGTGGTAGTGGCAGTGTACTAACTTTTGCACTCCTAAATGGTTTGCATGAGTGTCAGAAGAGACAACCGTGGGCTGCGTGAGGTGGGCCCATAAACCCAGGTGGCAAATATGGGCGTGCAGTGCTGGCTGTGTTAGGCAGAGTGAGTTTATTCCAAGGCCCCTGGACAGTATATTCAGGTTCTAGCAGGAGTGTCAGTAGATGGAACAGGACTATTTTTAAGCCCTGAGATGGTATGTGAATGAGCCAGTTCTCAGGCCCACTTAAGATATGTGCAATTGTTCAGTGGGTCTCCCACTGAAGAAATTGGGTGCTTTCGGAGACAATGACTACAGGCAGGCTGCATTCAGGTTCTGAGGAGTGCAAGGTTTGGATCATTTTTTCCCAGGGTCAACCTCCCTGGTGTGCTATGCTTCACATTTCCCAAAGTATAGGACACTGTGTGGGCTAGAGTGATAGTGGACCCAGCTGCACTGCTAGACCCAGCTGGCATTTGTGATGCTTCAACCCTCTGGGTAAATGTGGAGAGAAGTCAGTGAGGCTCCAAGCATGTGGAAATGCAGAGGCTATTGGACCCTAGAGCAGAAAGTAGACTGGCAGGGGTTGGGCTCTTAAAATGGCACCATACTACAGCTGCTTGTTTCTTAGGAGTTGTGTGGGACCCAGAGTAAACTCCACCTCTGGAACAGTGTCATCACATGGACTCCAAGCAGTTTCCTATACCAGTTTCAGAAAACACAAGGGCTGAGGGGTCCTCCCATGGCTATAATTGCAGGAGTCCATGGCTACAAGCCCCATGTAAGTCCGAAACCCAACAGGGCACTCATTACATCTCAAAGCTTTAAAGTAATCTCTTTTGACTCCATGTCCCACATCCAGGCCACACTGATGCAAGGGGTGGGCTTCCAAGGCCTTGGGCAGGTCTGTCCCTGAGCTTTGCAGGGTAAAATCACTATAATTGCTTTTGTGGGCTAATGTTGAGTGCCTGCAGCTTTTCTAGGCACATGGTGCAAGCCGTCAGTGGATCTACCATTTTGAGATCTGGAAGATGGTGGCCCTCTTCTCACAGCTCCACTAGGCAGTGTCCCATTGGGGACTCTGTGTAGGGGTTCCATCCCCACATTTTCCCTCCACACTGCCCTAGTAGTGGTTCTCCATGAGGGCTCCACCACTGCAGGAGACTTCTGCCTGGAAATTCATGTTTCCATACATCTTCTGAGATCTAGGTGGAGGCTCCCAAACCTCCACTTTAGCCTTCTGTGCACCCACAGGTCCAACACCATGTAAAAGCCACAACGGCTTGGGGCTTGCATTCTCTGAAGCAATGGCCTGAGCTGTACCTTTGCCCCTTTTGGCCACAGCTGGAGCCAGAATAGCTGGGACACATGGCACAATGTCCCAAGGCTGCACAGAGCAACAGGGCCCTGGGCCTTAGCCACAGAATCATTTTTCCCTCCTAGGCCTCTGGGCCTCTAATAGGAGGGGCTGCACATCTTCACATGGTGGCAGGAAAAAGAATAAAAGGGGAAGTGCTGCATACTATTAAACAAGCAGATCTCATGAGAACTTACTCACTATCACAAGAACAGCAAGGGGGAAATCTGCCCCCATGATCCAATCACCTTCTCACTAGGTCCCTCCCCCAACACTGGGGGATTAAAATTCAACCTGAGATTTGGGTGGGGACACAGAGCCAAACCATATCACCTGGGAATCTTTCACCTACTTTTCTCCTACAATGGAGTGTTCCTCCTGGGTCAAAAATGATCCTGGCTAGACTAGTGCTTGCTGCTGTCTCCTTTTATTCCTTAGAGATTTTTGTCACCTACCTGCTAAATTTCAGTGCTCTCTTAGAAGCTCTAGTCAATGTGTGGTTACCTACTCTTCCTTGATTCTTCCTTGTGCCTTCATTTGCGTTTGTATCTTCCAGACTCCTGACAAAGCACATTGTTCTTGGATCTTAGATTGATATTTCTGTTTCCTTACAGATAAAAGTGAAAGCTAATTTTAACAAACATATGGGTATGCTAATTATGTGAATTTAATTAATTGTAATGAAGAATCTCTAGCAAAATGAAATACAGTTTTTATATATTAATGCATAGCAATATAAGCATTTATTAATGTTATTTGACTTTACTGGTTCTTATCTTCAATTTTGCAAGGCATAGAATTTGTGAAATGGTACTTGTGATCTTCAGATGTCTTTGGTATATTTTTTAAGGGACTACTAACAAGAGAAAATAAGTCATATTGGTTTTGCTTCCCCAAAATTAATTTGATCTTCTGTTTTACCTTACAGAAAAATACACTATTTTATTTATGTGATAATTCAGTTTATCCCTCATAAATTATGTGACAACTCAATATATATATATATATAATATATCTCTCTCTCTATATATATATAATATATCTCTGGCTCACCAGAGATCTGAAATTGCCCACTCAAACAGAAACCACCATGTACTGGCCCAGGAAAAGAGCAACTACATCTTGCTTCTCTCAACCTTTTGGCCTCAATTTCATTCTTCCTTACTTTTGGTCTTCTTCTGATATTAAGAATGCTCATTTATTTGTTTTCAGTATGGTCTCAGAAGAAATGGTGGATGCATACAAGTAGCCAAACAGCAAAACATGGAATACCACTGATAAGCAAAATAATTTACCTGCCACTGGTGGTAGAGGAAAGAGGCAGTTGTTTTAGGATGAGGAGTTGAAAACCAGTGAGGCATTAAAATGATATATAACTTTCCAGTTCCTAAATGTAATATAAATATATATATATCTTTATGCCCAAATTAAGGACCAATAGCAATAGCATAATTATATAATTCTATGTTCTTGGTTTATGTCTTTCCCTTCATTATTTATGATTTGCTTAATCTTTATTCTTTCTTATTTTCCTTCATTTTAAAATTTTACACTTATGCACATGTCTTTTTTTTTTTTTTAGAGTCAGAGTCTCGCTCTGTCACCCAGGCTGGAGTGCAGTGGCACGATCTCAGCTCACTGCAACCTCCACCTTCCAGGTTCAAGCAAATCTCCTGTCTCAGCCTCCCTAATAGCTGTGATTACAGGCACACACCACCATGCCTGGCTAATTTTTGTATTTTTAGTAGAGATGGGGTTTCACCAATCCACATGTCTTTTATTGTAAACTAGTTCAAGAAATAGTTATTAATAACCTAACATGATTTAATACTATTACTCCCCTCAACCCCTACCATATTTATTTTTGAACCAAAGATCCCCACAGGTAAGTTTTTTTTTTTATTTCATTGGTCTGTTCAGTTTTTTTCCCTCTCTCTAGTTTCAATAATAACTGCACTTATAAAAATAAAAGTAATTATTTCTTATTCACTAAATATGGATCATATGTGAGTATTCACATATATTATTTCTATTCCTTTCCACAATTCCATGAAAGAAGCAGCTACTATTTCTGTTGAGTTTTATAACAGAAATATGAGGAAGGAACAGTAGATATAGTGATCTGTAAATAGTACATGTTAGGAAACTGAGGCTGTAATAAACATGGGGAAAGATATGTTCATCCAAGTTCCTTGAATATGTTGATCCAAGTTCCCTGAGGGAAATAAAGTACAGATATCTCAAATCAATTCAATGAAGAGTAACTCTTCTGAGATCTTCTTACCCATAAGTTCCAATATTAGGATGTATGTGTAAATTTCCACTATTAGGATGTATGTGTAAAGTTCTGCTAAGAAACGTGCAAGTTTGCTTATAGTAGCATTTGTGATTAAAAAAATTAATTAGGAATTAGCCTAAACATTCCATCAGCCAATAAAATCATGGTTTATCTGTACATGTAATACTATGAAATTAAATTAACTAAGTATACTTTTATATATTGATATGGAACATCTCTAAAATATACTGTATCAAGCTGAAAAAGCAGAGAATGAAACAGTGCACAGAGCATGTCTTTCATGTGATGTTAATACTTCATATAATACAAATCATACTTAACATAATATAATATTAAAGATTTTTTGGCATCTTTTCATAATGTCTATGACTTCATTATACAGATATTATATGGATTTATGACGTACCATTTTACACTTACACACACACACACACACACACACACACACACACACACACACTGATGGATACCCAAAACAAAAAGCCTGTAACAGTAATTTTGGAAGGAAAGAAGGTTGGAAAATACAGAGCAGATTATTTTTATTTTGTAACGTTCTATGATTTGAATTTTTTCATCTTGATATATTATTTTTACATAAATGGAAGTTTTTAGGGTTTAGGATAATGGATTATTTATTCAATCATAGTTACTTGTTTTAATTGTGCACAAAATAAATATTATAATATTATTTAAAATTAAAGACAACAAGATTCATGAACATAAAGTAGAAAACTTCTTTAAGAACCCTAAAGGAAAAAAAGTTGATTGTTTAAACAAACACAGTTTGAAAGAGCAAACAAGAGAAAGAAAGAAAGAAACAAACAAGAGAACCTATAAATAGAAAACATAATAACAAAAGTGACAGAAACTATTAAAACAAATCCCGACTACTCAAAATGAACATGGATTTACTGAGTTTTGCTGTTCAAAAATCAGCTTTTAAATTTCTTAAAAACCTAAACATTTCGCTATTTACAAGAAACACATTCGAACAAACTAAATCGTATGCAAATGTCTTTGGCCCTCAGAAATAGGGTAAGAAGCACGGAGCTTCTGCGCAGGCTAGCATGCCAAAGTTATGTCAACATAGTCCTTAGATATGACCAACACCTGGGTTCTTTCACTTGACCACCACTGCCTCATACATGTTTGTACCAGCTCCACATATGATGGGTACCAATGCACAAACATGGAAGGTTTGGGGCCCCAGTCTGCTTCTCTAACCTCCTAAGAGGCCACCCACATGAAGACAGGAACTCTGCAGGTGCATTCAAGTCAGCTTTCATGAAGAGACCCATATACAAAGATGCCTCATGGTTCCCCCATCAGAATGGTGTCAGAGGAGGAATACTGGAGACCCAGGACTTTGGGGAGATTGTCTTCTGTTTACTGAAATGCCAGGGGTTTGGTTTAGGTTCTGCTGATCACTGCACAAAAAGCCAATCACTGAGAAAATTAGTATTGCCAGAGAAGCCTTCATGTAAGTGCTACAGCCAAGGAGCATGAAAGATCAGTCTCAAAACCATCTCCTTACTAAAATTAGGGGCTTATATAACAGGAAAGAAATCTAACTACCTGTGGGAAAACAGGAATTTGGGGAGGTAAAGAGAAGTTGGTCAACAGGCAGCAGGTGGTCAGTTAGGCAACCATAATGGGTAAGGAGTCTGGTGTCTCATTGCCTAGATGTGGTGATCTGGTAGGTTTCATTTTCTTGATACTGTCTGGGAAGTCTGATGCATGGTTTCCTGAGAAAGAAACTCAAACAAGAGGAATGAAAGTTTCTCAAGTTTTAAGACAGAGAGGGTGGATTTTTATGTTTATTCAAAAGAAACCATAAATATCACTTCCAAGGCACAACTGGGCCAGTTTTACTCTCTTAATATAACTCAAACTCTTAGGAAAACAATGGAGTTTCATATAACAAAAACCTTTGTTTGAATCACATCAACAATTATTCCATTTAGGAATGGTTTCCTGATTCTATTTTCTGTACTTTAACTGAAACCTCTACCAGCCCCTCAATAATTTTGCAAATAATTAATAAGATCATTGCTGATAAAGCTACATATGAGTGTGTGTCCATGTGTGTATGTGTGTGTTTGTGTCTTCTACCCATGTTAGCCAGGCATGCCACCAAGTTATTATATAATATGAAGATCATAAAATGCAACGACTATACGTTGAAGATTTTATTTTAAAGGCAATTTCAGTGGTATCATTCTACTGCCTTGTACATGGAACCACACAGCCCAATATAAAACCTGCTTACAGAAGTGCATAGGACTATTGAAGCAAAAAAAAAAAAAAAAAAAAAAAAAAAAAAAAAGATGCTGGTGAGACTACAGAGAAAAAGGAATGCTTATACACTATTGATGGGAATGCGAATTATTTCAGCCACTGAGAAAAGCAATTCAGTGATTTCAAAGAATATAAAACAGAGCCACCATTTGACCGAGGGACCCCAATACTGGGTATATATATGAAAGAAAATAATTCATTCTATCAAAAAGATACATGTATTCTTATGTTTATACAGAGCTATTTATAATAGCCAAGACATAGAATCAACCTGGGTCCTCATCAATGGAGGAGTGGATTTTAAAAATGTGGTAAACAGACACCATAAAATATTAATAGTATCCAGTCATAAAAAAGAATGAAATTATGTCCTTTGCAGCAACATGGATGCAGCTGGAGGCCATTATCCAAAATATATTAACACAGGAAAAGAAAAGCAAATACTGCATGGTCTTGCACAAGTGGGAGGTAAACATTGAATACACACAGACATAAATATGGGAACAATAGATACAGCAGGCTACTGGATAGGAGGGAGGGAAGGAATGTAGGCTTAACAACCACCTATTGGGTATTATGTTTGTTGCAGAAAGTCAGGGACCCCGAATGGAGGGACTGGCTGGAGTCACAGCAGAGGAATATAAATTGAGAATATTTCATTTTAATATGGACATATATCAGTTCCCAAATAATACTCTTATAATTTCTTATGCCTGTCTTTATTTCAATCTCTGAACACAAATTGTGAAGATTTCACTTTAATATGGACATTTATCACTTCCCAAAATTAATACTTTTATAATTTCTTATGCCTGTCTTTACTTTAATCTCTTAATCCTGTTATCTTTGTAAGCTGAGAATGTATGTCACCTCAGGACCAATATTGTGTTAACTGTACAAATTGATTGTAAAACATGTGTGTTTGAACAATATGAAATCAGTGCACCTTGAAAAAGAACAGGATAACAGCGATTTTCAGGAAACAAGGGAATACAACCATAAGGTCTGACTGCCTGCGGGGTTGGGCAGAATAGAGCCATATTTTTCTTCTTGCAGAGAGCCTATAAACGGACGTGCAAGTAGGGAAGATATCGTTAAATTCTTTTCCTAGCAAGGAATATTAATATTAAGACCCTGGGAAAGGAATTGCCTTCCTGGGGGGAGGTCTATAAACGGCCGCTCTGAGAGTGTCTGTCTTATGCGGTTGAGATAAAGGCTGAAATACGCCCTGGTCTCCTGCAGTACCCTCAGGCTTACTGGGATTTGGAAACCCTGCCCTGGTAAATTTGAGGTCAGACCAGTTCTCTGCTCTCAAAGTCTGTTTTCTGTTGTTTAAGATGTTGATCAAGACAATACGTGCACAGCTGAACATAGACCTTTATCAGTAGTTCTGAATTTGCCCTTGTCCTGTTTCCTCAGAAGCATGTGATCTTTGTTCTCCTTTTTGCCCTTTGAAGCATGTGATCTCGTGACCTACTCCCTGTTCTTGCACTCCCCCCTTTTGAAATCCTTAATAAAACTTGCTGGCTTTAAGGCTCAGGTGGGCATCGTGGTCCTACTGATATGTGATGTCACCCCCAGAGGCCCAGCTGTAAAAGTCCTCTTCTTTGTATTCTTTCTCTTTATTTCTCAGCTGGCTGACACTTATGGAAAATAGAAAGAACCTACATTGAAATATTGGGGGTGGATTCCCCTGATATCTGCCACCTAATGTGGTTTTCTTTTTCCTAAGTGCATGTGGGAACCTGATTCCCTTTGGTAGGTGCAGAGAAATGTTCATCAGTCTGGTCCACAGAAATTCTTGTTCAGCTCCCTGACAATTGGTGAGTTGTCTGTTTATTGTCCAAGGTAACTATGGGTCACGTGGAGTCTAAACATCATGCTTATCTCTGCTATATTAAACTCCTGTTAAAACAGGGTGGTGTTCGAGTGCCCATGGAAAATATGGTCACTCTATTCAGGGCAGTGGAGGAACACTGTCCTTGGTTTCCTGAAAAGTGAACGTTAGATGTGGAACTATGGGATCGTGTTGGTGCAAAATTCTGGGAACTGGTCCCAACAGGAAACTATGCTCCCATCACTGTTTGGGGTGATAGGGCCTTGGTACTTGTCATCCTAATGACACACCAATCCCATGACCCCCTACAGTTACCACAATTTTCTGAATCTGGTGACCCTCTACCTTTTCCTCAGCTTTCCTGTCCTGCTCAGCCTTCGTTATCTGCTCAGCCTCTCCCTTCGCCTACTCCTCCCCCACCTGATGATAGTGAGGATTCAATATCTAATTCTGGTGACTTTGGCTTAACATCACCCCCGATGATCTCATTTCTTTTCACGAAGAGCTGATACTTGTAGCTCCCACGGCCCCAACTCGGACAGCCCGGGACCATATCTATGTTAACTCTTCCCTCTCCAGACCTTTGCAGTCTTTGGCACCAGAGCTACCTAATGGCTCCAGGACCAAACTACAGTTTACTTGTAATTCTGCAGGCCCTCCCCCATCCACTGCAGCCTCTCACCCTCCTGTCATTTTGGTCCCTCAACTGATCACTTTGCCATCCACTCAACCTGCTTCTCTGTACCCTTCTTCACACATGGACACCAATAATCACCAGTATGCTTCTGCCTCTTCTGCTCCCCCGGTGCTCCTTCCTCACACTCTCATACTGGTCCAACCTCCTAAACCTCAGTTTCCCTTATCTACACATACTTTTCCTCTCACTTCTATGCTGACTCTGTCTCATGTGACTGCTCTTGTAACTTCCATGCAATGCTTATTACACCACAACAAAGAAACAAGTGGATTAGAAGTGTGGGCTTATCTAGTCATGCTGGAACCTCCAAATGCTCATGGGGTACAAGTGCGTTGATATGCGCTGCTCAATCTTACCTTTTTAAAAGAATTCCAGGATGCTTGTACTCAGTATAGTCCTACTTCTCCATATGTTAAAATGGTATTACAGACTCTTTGTACTGAGGTCATTTTGCTTCCTTTAGACTGGGACCTTTTGGCAAAAGCTGTTCTAACTCCATCTCAGCATTTATAATTCCATACCTGGTGGTCAGAGGAGGCCCATCTGCAGGCTCAGCTAAATCAGGCTGATGGCATTCTAATTAGGCTCAGCTCACAGGCTCCAATAATTATTCTGACACTACCGCACGATTAGGCTTTGATACTCTCAGCACAGAACAAGTAACAGAGGTGTGTATGAGAGCTTGGGATAAATTACGTGCCCCAGGCCAAGCTCCTGTTTCTTTTACTACTGTTAAACAGGGTCACAATGAATTATATCCTGTTTTTTGGCCAAATTACAAGATGCTGTTCAAAAATCCATCTCTGATGAGCGCACTCAAGGTATTCTCCTTCGTATGTTAGCTTTTGAGAATGCAAACCATGAATGTAAAATGGCCATGCATTCTGTCCAATGACAAAATTTACCAGATCACAAGGTGTTGCCTGCATATATTAAAGCTTATGAAGGCATTGGATCAGAGACCCACAAAGCTATTCTGTGGGCACGGGCCATGAAGGACAGCAATCAAACTGGCTCAACTGATTCTTTTCTTGGAGTCTGCTATAATTGTGGTCAACTTGGTCATACTCAAAAAAATTTCACTGTTAAAAACTTAAAAGTGGCCAAGCCAGCTCAACAAACACAGCCAAATGCTCCTGCTACTGTGTGCCCGTGTTGTCATAAAGGTAAACATTAGGCAAGTACTTGCTGCTCTAAATATGATATAGATGAAAATCCCTTGCCACAGAACCAGGGAAATGGGAAGAAGGGCCAGTCCCAGGCCCCAATATCAAATGGGACACCTCACACTCAGGCCAATGTTGCGTTTCCACTTCAAGTGGTCCCAGTGCAGCCCCCAGCACAAACAAATTTACCTACAGTCAACCCTGATGGGTCCCAGCCTCTTCTGTCTCAGTACAATGCTTCTCTACCTCCACAGTAGGGGGCAGGGCAGTCTCGATCTCTGTGGTACCATTCCTCTAAATTTACTCCCTAATTCTTTGCTTTTAATTGTTCCCATGGGGGTCACTGGCCCTTTACCTCAAGGCTCGGTGGGCCTCATGTTAGGTTGGGCCTCCACCTCTGCTAAAGGAATCATGGTTCATACTGGTCTCATTAATTCTGATTCCTCTGATGAGATTAAACTTATGGTTCTGCCGAGGTTCCTGTTTCCATTCTGGCTGGTGAGTCAATTGCTCAATTACTTTTACTATCTAATATTGTTTTAAACAAAGGAGATAAGACACAGGGCCCTGGGGATGGGCTCCGGCAGTGAAAAAGCCGCTTATTGGATTAATGTAATTTCTAAACAACAGCCCACCTGCACCATATACATTTGAGGAAAAAAGTTTGAGGGCCTAGTAGATACTGGGGCTGAAGTTTCTATTATTTCCTCTAATTTATGGCCTTCCTCCTGGCTTAAACATCCCACTAACATGGGACTAGTAGGTGTTGGAAAAGCTGATGAAGTTCACCAGAGCACATTTATCTTGCCTTGCACTGGCCCTGATGGTCAAAACGGTACAATTCAGCCTTATATCATGCCAATCCCCATTAATCTTTGGGGTAGAGATTTGCTGGCACAATGGGGGGCTGAAATTAATATTCCACATAACTCATAGTGCTCCCAGTTAACATATAATGGAAAACATGGGGTTTGTTCCCAGACTCAGTCTCAGTCCAAAACATGAAGGAATTACTAACCCCCTTCAAGTTTACTGTAAAACAAGACAGGGCTGGTTTAGGTTATCCTTTTTAATGGCAGCCACTGCCACGCATCCTAGTCCTATTCCTTTACAATGGAAATCGGAAACATCTGTTTGGATTGAGCAGTGGCCACTCTCTAAAGAAAAACTGGAGGCTTTAACTCACTTGGTTTCTGAACAGTTACAACTTGGAAATGTGAGACCTTCTCTTTCCCCCTGGAATTCTCCTGTGTTTCTAGTAAAAAAGAAATCAGGCAAGTGGCAGATGGTGACTGATTTAAGGGCCATTAGTGCAGTAATTAAACCTATGGGAACCGTCCAACCCAGCATGCCTGCCCCTGCCTTAATACCTAAGAATTGGCCTCTCATAATTATTGATCTTAAAGACTTTTTTGCATATTGCTTTACATAAATCGGATTGTGAAAAATTTGCCTTTACTGTACCATCTATCGATAATCAGGAGCCTGCAGCTTGTTAGCAATGGAAAGCACTTCCTCAGGGAATGCTGAACAGCCCTACCATCTGCCAGCTTTATGTTGGAGAGGTGCTTTCACCAGTTCGAGCTCAATTTCCCCAGGCCTATATTCTTTATTATATGGATGATATATTAATTGCTGCTCCCACTGATAAAAAATTAATTGACTGTTATCAATTTTTGAGCCACCATGTTACAGAGGCTGGATTACACATCGCTCAGGATAAAATTCAACAGACCACTCCTGTTCAATATTTAGGAATGGTAGTCAATAAAGAATGTATTCAACCTCAAAAGTTTCAGATTAGGAAAGATTCCTTGAAAATTTTAAATGATTTCCAAAGACTTTTGGGTAACATTAATTATTTAAGACCTACTTTAGGCATTCCAACATATGTGCTATCTAACTTGTTTTCCGTGCTATGTGGAGTTTCCAATCTCTGCTGTCCCAGGACTTTGACCCCTGAGGCTTCACTGGAACTGGAGTCAGTACAGGGAAGAATCCAAACTGCCCAGTTGTCTAGGGTACAGCGGTCTCAGCCTTTCAGCTTCTGGTTTTCACTTCATTACACTCCCCTACTGGGCTAATAGTTCAATGTGATGATTTAGTGGAGTGGTGTTTTCTTCCTTATTCTGTGTCAAAAACTTTGTCTGTTTATCTGGATCGAATAGCCACCCTAATTGGACAAGCTCAATGTAGAATACTTAAAATTTCTGGATTTGATCCCAATTTAATTGTGGTTCCTTTAAGTCAGCTCGAAGTTCAAGCTGCTTTCAACATTCCATACTGTGGCAAATTCACTTGGCTGATTTTATTGGTGTTATTGACAATCATTATCCAAAAAACAAAGTTTGATTTTATAAAAATGACTTCTTGGGTGGTCCCTCGATTGACCAAAGATCAGCCCATTCCTGAGGCCATTACAGTGTTCACTGATGGCTCCAGTAATTGAAATGCTGGTTATGTGGGTCCTACAGACAAGCTTATTTCTACCCCTTAGACATCTGCTCAAAAGGCAGAGTTAATTGCTGTAATTACTGCCTTACAGGATTTCCCCAAACCTTTACACATTGTCTCTGATTCTGTTTATGTTTTACATGCCACTAAAAATATAGAAACCGCTACTATCAAACATATTGATAATTCTGAATTGGCTTCTTTATTTTCAAGGTTACAACAGGTGGTTCGCCAATGTAGACACCCTTTCTATATTACATATATTAGATCTCATACCACTTTACCAGGACCCATGTCTGCTGGCCACCAAAAGGTCAACTGTTTGGTCTCTTTTGCAACCCAAGAAGCTCAGGAGTTCCATAATGTCACTCATGTCAATGCTGCTGGATTAAAAGATAAATTTGCTGTCATCTGGAAAGAGGCTAAGCTTATTGTCCACCGCTGCCCTCAGTGCCAAGTTTTTGTACTTTCAAATCAGGAACCTGGCATTAATCCCAGAGGCCTAACTCCTAATGATTTATGGCAAATGGATGTAACTCATGTTAACTCCTTTGGCAGACTTTCATATGTACATGTTTCTGTAAACACCTTTTCAGGCTTTATCTGGGCTACTTGCCAAACAGGGGAAGGCACGGCCCATGTTAAAAGACATTTGTATTCTTGCTTTGCAGTTACGGGGCTTTCATATCAAATAAAAACAGACATCACCCCTGGATATGTTAGTAAGGCTTTTGACTTATTTATGCAACAATGGAGAATTTCCCTTATTACCAGAATCCTTTATGATCCTCAGGGACAGACTGTGGTGGAGTGGGCAAATTGCACTTTAAAAACTCAATTGTCCAAACAGTCTGAACAACAAAAGCATAAATCGAACACTCCCCACTCCCAATTACATTTGGCATTGTTTACTTTAGACTTTCTAAATGTTCCTAAAGACAATACTCTCACTGCAGCTGAACACCATTATACAGGCAAAAAATTCTGCCTAAATGAAGGCAAGCCAGTGTTATGGAAAAATTTCCAAACCAATACCTGGGAACCTGGAACAATTATAACGTGGGGAAGAGAGTATGCTTGTGTTTCACCAGGAGATCATCAATCCCCTGTCTGGGTACCCACTAAGAGACTTAAACTTCGTTTGAATACTGACAACGAAAACCACAGGGAAAATACATCTGCATCAGAGACTGCCCTCATACGTGGTGAGATCTGTGCCGACTCCTCAAAAACTGGCCAGCCAAATCAAAATGGATCTGGTTTGATCCTCCCTAATGGCAATGGAGACCCCTCTAACTAATCCCACTTCTCCTAATTCCCTTTCTTTTTCTCCTTACAAACCTAAAAATCTCACCATTTCTATTAACCTGAAAACAACATCCCCCTGTTCTTCTCTTCCTCCTTCAGCACTGAATCTCGCTTACAATAGGTTTCATTTAATGATTCTCCTCCTTATACTTTCTGTCTCACCTGTTTCCTCTCACACTGATTTACCTGCTACACAAAATTATTCTTATTGGGCTTATGTACCTTTTCCTCCACTTATTTGACCTCTCACCTGGATGGATGCTCCTGCAGAAATCTATGCTAACGATAGTGTGTGGATGCCTGGAGCTACAGCTGACCATTGCCCCGCTCAACCAGAAGAAGGCACAGCATTTAATGTTACTATGGGTTACAAATACCCTCCTCTGTGCCTCGGATATGCACCTGGTTGTATCCATCTAGAAACTGAAGTCTGAACTGCTTATCTTCTGGAGAGATTAGCTACAGACAAACTGGGACATTTGTTCTCCAGCCTCTCCCTTTCTCCTTCAAGACAAATGAAAAGGGGAGTAATAGGAGATACCCCATACTTTCAATATAAACCTGTAGGAAAACCATGTCCTAAAAATTTTGAGGGCCCATCTAAAACTTTAATTTGGGAAGATTGTGTCAACTCACATGCAGTAATATTTAAAAAGTGACTCATATGGTTTAGTAATAGATTGGGCACCAAAGGGCTATTTAAAAAACAATTGCTTCTCTGGCAGAAGGGAATGCCTGGAGGCTACTTATTCTATTTCTTATTGGGAGGATGAGGAGGATCATCATCCTACTTTGCATAGGAGGTTCAGCTCATTCTTTCCCTTAAAATCGGAAGATAAGGGCATTACTCCCCCAAGGCCTCATATGATATTCCCCATTCTGAGCCCAGAACACCCAGAACTTTGGAAATTGGCTATTGCCATGTCTGGACTGCAAGTATGGGAAGGGGAAACTTTTCTGTCTGTTGCCCCCTCTACCGCCCTTCGCATCCGTGATTCTGAACCCCATGATAAATCCCCTTTGAACCCTTTTCCTCTTTTTGATCTCAGTCCTCCTTTATGGGACTCCAATTGGCATTATGATAATTCTTCTCTACCCAGGTATGACCCTCTACCTCTTTGGCATCCCCGGGCACCTCCGATTGCTGCTTTATGGTGGAGAACATCGGGCATGGCCACTGCTGCTCCTCTCCCTCAGTATCAACGTAGATTCAGACATTCTGCCTTGTTTACCTCCAACCTGATTAGTCCTATACAAAGTTATGTTAAGCTTCCTTACATGCTGTTAGTGGGAAACATCAAAATTTGGACGAACAATCAAACTGTCCAATGCATTAATTGTCATGTATACACTTGTGTTAAGTCCCGTTTTGACTCCAGGAAAAGTATAATGTTGGTTCGAGCTTGAGAAGGAATCTGGATACCGATAACTTATCTATCATACAAATGAAAAATAAAGAAGAGCAGGGGCCATTCTTTTTATATTAGATAAAATGACTTTAAACCAACACTATTAAAAACAAACAAAGAAGGAAACTACATAAAGTTTTCAATTTTACAAGAAGACTTAACTGTCATAAATATATACGTACCCAAAATTGGAGGACACAGATTCATAAAATAAGTACTTCTAGACCTACCAAAAGTCCTACACACCCCCATATAATAGTGGAGGACCTCAAAACCCCACTGACAGCAGTAGAGAGATCATCAAGGCAGAAAACTAACAAATGAATTCTAGACTTAAATTTGGCACTTAACCAGTTTGACCTAGTTGACACCTACAGAACATTACATCCATCAATACACATTCTTCTCACCTGTACATGGAACATACTCCAAGGTTAACCACATGCTCAGCCATAAAGTAAGTCTCAAGAAATTCAAAAAAAAATCAAAATTATACCAACCATAGTCTCAGACCACAGTAGATTAAAATAGAAACTGATACTAGGAAGATCACCAAAACCTGCACAATTACATGGAAACTAAACAACTTGCTCCTGAATGATTTTGAGGTAAACAATGAAATTAAGACAGACATAAAAAAATGTTAAAAAAAAAACTTTGAAATAAACAAAAACCTTTTGGATGCAGATAAAGCAGTGTTAAGAGAAGTTTAGAGCACTAAATGCCTACCTCATAAAGTTAAAAATATCTCAAATTAACAATCTAATATCCCACACCTAGGAGAACTAGAAAACTGAGAACAAATTAACCCCAAAACTAGCAGGAAAAAAAAAGAAATAACTAAAGTCAACAAAATTTACATGTGAAAAACCATACTGAGAATCAAGAAAATCCTAAAGTTGGTTATTTGAAAGGACAAACAATAATAATAGATCAATAGCTAAATTTAACAAACAAAAAATAGAGAAGAGCTAAATGAGCATCATCAGAAACAATAAAGGCAACATTACAACGAATCCCACAGGCATACAAATTAGACTATTATCAACATCTGTATGCAGACAAACAAGAAAATCCAGAGAAAATGAATAAATTCCTGGAAACATTCAACTTCCCAAGATTGGACCAGGAAGAAATTGAAACCATGAATAGACCAATAAGGATTTCTGGAATTGAATCAGTCATAAAAAAAAAAACTACCAACCAAAAATGGTCCTAGACCAGATGAGTTCACAGCTGAATCCTAACAGACATACAAACAAGAATTGGTACCAATTCTACTGAAACTATTCCAAAAAAATTATAAAGGAAGAACTTTTCCCTGACTAATCTACAAAGCAAGCATCACCCTGATACCAAAACCTGGTAGCAAAGACACATGAAAAAAGAAAACTTCTGGCCAATATTCCTGATAAATATAGATGCAAAAATAATCACCAAAATACTAGCAAACCAAAACCAGCAGCATACCAAAAAGTTAATTCAGTATGAGCAAGTATCTTTATTCCTGGGGTGTAAGGTTGGTACAACATATGCAAATCAATAAATGGGATTCACCATTTAAACAGAATTAAAAGTGAAAACCATATGACTATCTCAATAGACATGGAAAAAGTCTTCAATGAAATCCAACATTCTTCATGATAAAAACCCTCAACGAGCTAATCACAAAGGAATGTGCCTCAAAATAATAAGAGGCATCTATGACCAACACACAACCAACATCATACTGAATGGGCAAAAGCTGGAAGCATTCCCTTTGAGAACTAAAACAAGATAGGATGCTCACCCATGCAAATTCAAAGTCCAACAAGGCAGTCATTAAATCTTAAAGCTCTAAAATGATCTCCTTTGACTCCATGTCTCATATCCAGGTCACATTGATGCAAAATGTGGGCTCCCATGGTTTTGGGTATCTCTGCCCTTGTAGCTTTGCAGGGTACAGCCCTAATCCCATCTGCTTTCACAAGCTAGCATTGAGTGTCTGTGGCTTTTCCAGGTGGATGGTCCAAGCTGTCAGTGGATCTGCCATTCTGGGGTCTGGAGGATGGTAGCCCTCTTCTCACAGCTCCACTAGGCAGTGTCTCAATGGGGACTCCATGTGGGGGCTCCAATCCCTCATTTTCCTTCCTCATTGCCCTAGCACATAGTCTTCATGAGGGCTCCACTCATGCTGCAAACTTCTGCCTGGACATCCAGGCATTTTCATACATCCTCTGAAATCTAGGCAGAGGTTTTCAAACTTCAATTCTTGACTTCTGTGCACCTATAGGCACAACACCATGTAAAAGCCACCAAAGCTTGTTGCTTGCACCCTCTGAATCTATGGTCTGAGCTATATGTTGGCCCCTTTTAGCCATGGCTGGGATGCAGGGCACCAAGTCCTAAAACTGCACAAAGCAGCAAGGCCCTGGGCCCAGGCATGAAACCATTTTTTTCCTCCTAGACCTCCGGAACTATGATGGAAGGGGCTGCTGTGAAGATCTCTGTCATGCCTTGGAGACATTTTCCCCATTGTCTTGACAATTAACATTTGGCTCCTCATTACTTATGCAAATTTCTGCAGCAGGCTTGAATTCCTCCTCAGAAAATGGGTTTTCCTATTCTATCACATCATCAGGCTGCAAATTTTCCAGACTTTTATGCTCTGCTTCCTTTTTAAATATAATTTCTAACTTGAAACCATCTCTTTGTGAATGTATAAGGCTGAATGCTTTCAAACTTAACCAGGTTACCTCTTGAATGCTTTGCTGCTTAGAAATTTCTTCCACCAGATACCCTAAATCATCTTTCTCAAATTCAAAGTTCCACGGATCTCTAGGGCAGGGGCAAAATGCCACCAGTCTCTTTACAAAGCATAGCAAGAGTGACTTTTGCTCTAGTTCCCAATAAGTTTCTCATCTCCATCTGAGACCACCTCACCCTGGACTTCACTGTCCACATCATTATCAGCATTTTGGTCAAAACCATTCAACAAGTCTCTAGGAAGTTCCAAATTTTCCCACATCTTCCTATCTTCTTCTGAGCCCTCCAAACTGTTTCAAAGTCTGCCTGTTACCCAGTTTCAAAGTGACTTCCACATTTTCAAGTATCTTTATAGCAGTATACCACTGCCTCAGTACCAATTTACTGTATTTGTCTGTTTTCACACTGCTATAAAGAAATACCTGAGACTGGGTAATTTATAAAGGAAAGAGGTTTAATTGACTCACAGTTCTGCATGGCTGGGGAGGCTTCAGGAAACTTAAAGTCATGGCAAAAGGGGAAGCAAACACATCCTCCTTTGCAAGGCAGCAGGAGAGGGAAGAGTGAGTAGTGAAGGAAGAACAGTCCCTTATAAAACCCTCATATCTTGTGAGAACTCACTCACTATCATGAGAACAGCATGAGCAAAACTGCCCCCATGATCCAATCACCTCCCAACAGGTCTCTCCCTAGATATGTGGGAATTATGGGAATTATAATTAAAGATGAGATTTGGGTGGGGACACAAAATCTAATCATATCTGACACCACGGAACACTATGCAGCCATAAAAAATAACAAAATCATGTCTTTTGCAGCAACATGACATAGCTGTAGGCCATTATCCTGAGTGAATTATGGCAGGTACAGAAAACCAAATATCATGTTTTCAGTTATAAGTAGATCTAAATATTGGATACTCATGCACATAAAGATGGAAATGAGAGATCCTGGTGACTAATAGAAGGTGGAGGGATGGAAGAGGAAGGAACTAAATGCTGGGTCATATGCATACTACCTGGGTGACAGGTTCATCTATATCCCAAACCTCAGCATTATGCAATATATTCAGTAACAAACCTGCACATGTACCTCCTGCATCTAAAATAAAAGTTGAAATTTAAAAAATAATAGCAAATAAAAAACCACATGTTCTCACTTATATGTGGGAGCTAAACAATGGATACACATGGACATACAGAGAGGAAAAATAGACACTGAAGACTCCAAAAGGTGGGAGGGTGGAAGGTGGCTGAAAGATGAAATATTACCTATCGAGTACAATGTATACTATTTAGATGAGTACACTAAAAGCCCAGACTTCACTGCTATGTAATATACCCATGTAACACAACTGCATTTGTGTCCCCTAAATCTATCAAAATAAATGAACAAATAAATACATATATCATAAAAAAGAATGGCAATGAAGACATAATATTTCCAATATGCAAGGACTGATATATATTACTTCTCATATACTCTTCTAGGAAGCCATTGAAGATGTGTTTCTAATAAAAATGGAGATGTTTAAAAAAATCTGCAAAGTTTCTATCTATTCCTCTCCGACTGATTATCAACCTCTGTTCATTAACCAGTGCTTTCCTGCTGATCTTCAGGAGTTTGACACAGCCATTTGAGACTGTATCAGTTCCTTATGTTTGCCTTAGTTTGCTAGACTTTTCTATTCCTTAACTATTTGTTCAAAGGGTGTTTTTCCCCCTAAGTTCTTTGGCTGCAAGTAACTAGTGCTGGGAGAGACCATGTCTCTTATATGACATATAAGATTTAGAAAAGATTGTTGCATGATAACTACTGTATCAAATGGGCTAAAATTTCTGTTAAAATCAGTATTTTACTGATGTGTATATTAAAGTAGGACAAAAGAAAATAAATGTGAAAGTTATGTGGAACACTGAAGAGTTAAACAAAGAGATGACAGGACCATCCACTACATCCTACTATCTAAACCATGTTTCTGTGCTTCACCAAGATGCAGGCAATTAGGAATATTACTTAATGCTCCACAAACAAGACGATAGATCTGCCAAACTGATCTTAGATCTCTGACCTTTTAAGATTATATATTATCAGAGGAGAAGAAACACTAACTTGCACAAGACTGATAAGCACACATGTGGTCAAGGGTATTTCCTCTTGTTTGCATAAGAAAGAATACTCCAAAATAGATAAGATTTAGTAGGTTGTATCTACAATTAAGAAGAATGATCATAAAGTTGCAATCCTTCTCAGCCAAGATAGACAGTTATGCTAATGTCACAAATAAACCCAAAACCTGAATCTAGAAAACATTACGTTCTTTTTTATGCTACAAGCCCAGTGAAGACTATTTGGAGGGCAGAATTCTGCCTTTTCAGTTCCTCAGTGTATTAGTCCATTTTCATGCTGCTATGAAGAAATATCTGAGACTGGGTAATTTATAGAGAAAAGAGGTTTAATTGACTCACAGTTCCACATGGCTGGGGAGGCCTAAGGAAACTTACAATTATGGTGGAAGGGGAAGCAAATACATCCTTCTTCACGTGATGGCAGGAGAGAGAAGTGCTGAGCAAAGGAGGAAAAGCCACTTATAAAACCATCAGATCTCATGAGAACTCATTAACTGTCTTGGGAACAGCATGGGAGTAACTACCGCCATGATTCAGTTATCTCCCACTGGGTCCCTCCCACAATATCTGGGGATTATGAAAACTACAATTCAAGATAAGATTTTGGTGGGGACACAGCCAAACCATATCACTCAGAAACCCCAGAATACAAAGGTTTTAAGAACAACTGGGTAACTTGCACATGCTTTTATAGCATTCTGATCAAAATAATGTATGTCACTTCCCCTCACTTTTTATTGGCCAAAGCAAGTTACATGACCATGTCTAACTTACAAAGGAGCAGAGAAGTGCAATCGTATACATGCCAGAAACAGTGGTGAAGAGGATAGTCGTGAGAGCCCTCCTCATTGCCATATAATTGTACAAAATTCTAAATATAATGTAAGATAAATAAATGTCTAGACTACTAAGAAAAAAAAAACATGCTACTTGGAAAATAAAAAGTAAAGTTAAATACAAAATTCTGAGAAAAAGAGGGCATATTTTAAGAATTGTCTGTGTCATACTGCCTTTTTTCCCTGCATAAACAGGGAAAAAAGAATTATGATGTATGTCTTTAGACAGCTATAAAATATATCCTTTCACCAAAATTTTCTCAAGGACATATTTCCAGGTATTGAAGGCCAAGTTTCAAAAGAAATTTTGGAACAGAGATATTGTTGATGAAAATGGATGCTGACAGATATATTTATTGAAGAGGTCAGTAAATAAGAACACTGAAAGCAACACTTGCAGCTAGTCAGAATTATCCAACAATTGAAACAAACACATTAGAAAAAATATGCAATATAAAAACACACAGCAATGTTTTCACAGTTCTAATTAGATTACTAGGATGGCGGAATACTGGAAAGATAAAGATATAAAATATACTCTTCTCTTTCCCATGTATTAAATCCAAAGTTATTGTGTAGGCTATTAGAGTTACATAAAGGATTAATAATAGCTAGAGAGGTTTTAAGATAAACAAGATGACAGATAAATATATATATATATATATATATATACACACACACACATATATGTGTGTATATAAATAACATTAATGCTACAAATTGATTTTATTTCTATATTTTTAAAAATCATACTTAATTCAATAAAACATTAAAATGCTCAATAAAACCTATACTCAATACCATTTATATAGTATCCTTAGGGCTTAGCAAAATTCTTGGTCACATAATGGGCATTTAAGAAGATACATACTTCTTATTTGTTGAGATAGATAAAAGGCAAGTTACGGAAAGTAGAAAGGCAGAAACCAGACCAAAATAAAGTAATACATCTAAATTTTTTCTTACATGAAAGATGTTTAAAGCAAAATATAGTTGGTCCTTTGTAATATGGGTTCTACTTTCTTGAATCCTACCATCCAAAGTTAAAAAACAATTAGGAAACAATTCCACAAAATTGCAAAAAGCAAAATTTGAATTTTCAGACACCAAGAACTATGTTAAATCCATGCAAATAAGTAATTTGTAGGCATTGCATTGGTACTATAAGTAATCAGAGATGATTAAAGTATACAGGAGGGTGTTCATAAGTTATATGCAAATACTACACACCATTTTATGTAAGAGACTTGAGCATCTGCAGATTTTAGTATTTGTTGGGGTCCTAGAAACAATCCCCCAAGTACACTGAATGATGACTAGTCAAAGTTAAGAATAAAACACCAGACAAACTTATCTGCCTAATACTTATATTGCCACCATTGTTCTCCCACTTCCATGTTTAAATCAGTAAAATTTAAGGGAAATATCAAGTGAAAGAAGAAAGCAAATATGTAATGACGAAAGGTGCAGACAGACATGAAAAGACTGAGTCTGTTTATATTCAATAAATAGCAAGGCATTTCAATATACAAAGAAAAATTTCATTACAAATCCTAAAAATAACAAAAAAACACACTTGTAATATTTTATTTAGTGTTACCACTATATAGCAGTTAACATAGAAAAAAAGTAGTGATAAAAAGTCAGAAATAAATAAATTATAGGGTTTGATTCTATATATATGTTTTCTCTTTACTTTTTTTTTTACTTTAACCATTTTTATTGTACAACTCAGTAGCATTAAGTACATTGCCAATGAGATGTAACTGTTATCAAACAAAAATTTTTGTGCTCATTAAATAATGATTTCATATTCTCCCAATCCCTCACCATCAGGTTCCTCCTAATCTATTTTCTGTGTTCATCAGTTTTCCTAGATTGGATACTGGAAAAACTTGAACTTACAATATTGTTCTTTTGTGTCTGGCACAATGTTCTCAAGGTTCATCTGTATTGCAGCACGTATCAGAATTATGTTGCAATGCTAAGCTATTATCTAGGTACTGTAATTGACATTATCATGGAAAGGTCAGATACCTTCATTCTTGCTTCTTTTTTTTATTTTATTATTATTATACTTTAAGTTTTATTACTTGTCTCTATTTTAGCTAAGGAGATTAAGTCATTTGAGTGCTTTGTGCATAGCAGAGCTTTCTCAAACACAGTAATAAGATTTAGCTGATAATAATATCGGTGCCCTTTTAATGTATAACAAAAATTTCCAAAGTCAGAAGTCTTAAAAATTATTTCAAAGTTCAAAGTGTATGTTCCTGCATATGCCCATTTAAATAGTTTCAATATTGTTTAATCAAAATTCTACTCCTCTTTCAATTCAAGTGTTAAAAACATGTATTATAATCATTATTCTTTTCACAATCTGTTTACTGCATTATTTGGTTGTGATCTTGGATTGAATTTATTTCTTATGAGAGATCTTCTAAAAGCCTGAAGATATAGCATTCTATATTTCCAAGAAGATTACATTTTCAGGATAAGCAGCTAGAGAGCCAAAAGGCATTAGTGTACTCGATGTCCCATCGTTTTAAATAGCATTATTGCTTTGTGATATTGAATTTAATCTTGGTAAATTTGCTGTAGTTTACGTATGTTAGATTCAAACTCCTCATGTGTGAAAAAAAGACAATTAATGTACTGTAAATAAATGAATATAAACTAAATTGTTGGGATTCATAATGAGAGATGAAATTAAGGACTTACTTAGCCTCTTAGCAGTGAAATGAGTTCTAGTCAATTGAATAATTTTTCAGTAAAAGTTTTACAAAAGTTTAAATTAGAAAACAAACTAAGCCAGATTAGAAATCATGTACAAAATGTAAATGCAAATTTATTTTTGGAAAGTAAACTACTGTTTGATTGATTGAAAACTTAAGCATGGGGGACTATGATTTTTAATTCCTTAAATGTTATGAGTTAAATGGCAATATGTTTTCATTTCAGTGAAAATATATGATGAATAGAAATTTTTAGGGTCCAGTTATATTTTAATAATTGTAAAATCTAATTCCTAATTTTTTCTATGGGCAACAGAGGCTAGGAGAAGTTACCTCCCTCCAAGGACACAGAGTCATCATGAAGATGGGAACTCTTGCTTTTACTATGTAAACTTTTTCTTTCCAAAGATCTACAGATCATTGCCATTTCTTTTTATCTGACTCATTAATCATATTTTTTACTAACATATTTTAAAACTACCTTTGGAGATATTTAAATTGTATTTTATCAGAAACACTAAATGATAAGAAAGCAAAACAGCCTTAATGCTGGTATGGAGAAAGTTTTAGCGGTCTGGGGAGATCAAACCAGACACATTTCCTCAGGCCAAATCCTAATCTAGAAAAAAACCCTAGCTTCCTTCAATTTTGTGAATGCTGAGAGAGGTGAGGAAACTGCGGAAGAAAAGTTTTAAGCCAGCAGATGCTGGTTCATGAGATTTAAGGAAAGAAGCTATCTCCATAATTTGAGAGTACAAGGTGAAGCCGTAAGTGCTGACATAGAGGCTGCAGCAAGTTATCCAAAATATCTAATTAAGATGATTGATGAAGGTGGCTATGCTTAATGAGAGATTTTTAATGGAAATGACACAGCCTTAGATTGAAAGAATATGCCATCTAGGAGTTTCATAGCTAGAGAGGAGAAGCCAATGCCTGGCTTCAAACTTCAAAGGACAAGCTGACCTTCTTGTAGGGGCTAATGCAGCTGGTAGCTTTAAGATAAACCAATGCTCATTTTCCATTTTAAAAATCCTAAAGCCCTTAATAGTTATGCTAACTCTATTCAGTCTTTGCTCTACAATGAAACAACAAAGCCCAAATGACAGCACATGTACTACGGCAAGATTTACTGAATATTTTAAGCTTGCTGTTGAGACCTAGTGCTCAGGAAAAAGAAAGTCCTTTCAAAATATCATTGGTCAAAATATCACTAACCATTGACAATGCACCTGGTCATGGAGATGTACAAGGAGATAAATGTTGTTTTCATGCCTGCTAGCACAACATCTATTTTGCAGCCCTTGATCAAGGAGTAACGTCAACTTTTAACTCTTACTGTTTAAGAAATGCATTTTGTAAGGTTATAGATACCATACAGAGTGATTCCACTGATGATTCTATGGGCAAAACAAATTGAAAACTTCTGGAAAGGATTCACTTTTATAGATGTTATTAAGAACATTCGTGATATATGGGAGGAGGTCAAAATATTAACATTAACAGAAGTTTGAAATAAGATGATTTCAACCCTAATGGATGACTTTCAGGAGTTCAAGACTTCAGTGGAGAATGTAAATGCAGATATAGTGAATAGCAAGAGAACTAGAATTAAATGTGAACCCTGAATTAATATGACTGAATTGCTGCAATCTCATGATCAAACTTTAATGGATGAAGAGTTGCTTCTTATTGATGAGCAAAGTAAGTGGTTTATTGAGATGAACTCTTCTCCTTGTGTAGATATTGTGAACATTGTTGAAACGACAACAAAGAATTTAGAATATTACATAAACTTAGTTGATAAAGCAGCAGCAGGATTTGAGAGGATTTACTCCAATATTCAAAGAGTTCTGTGGGTAAAACACTGTCAAACAGCATGTCATGCTACAGAGCAATCTCTCATAAAAAGAAAAGTCAATTGTTGGGGCAAACATCATTGTTGTCTTATTTTAAGAAATTGCAACAGCCGCTCCAACTTTCAACAACTGCCACCCTGATCAGTCCGCAGCCATCAACGTCGAGGCAAAACCCCCCACCAGCTAAAATCATGACTGGCTGAAGGCTCAGATACTCATTTTTTATCAATAAAGCATTTTTAACCAAGGTGTATACACTGTTTTTTAGACATATGCTATTTCACATTGAATAGACTATAGTTTATTGTAAATATAACTTTTAAATGCACTGGGAACCAAAAATAATGCAGGTGACTCACGTTATTGCAACATGTGCTTTATTGTGGTGGTCTGGAACCAAACCTGCAATATCTCCGAGGTATGCCTTTTACACACAAAAATGCTTTGCGATGAAGAAAGCTGCAGGTGTCCTTTGAGGAATGTGTGGCGTAGCTATGCTCTCTGCTTGATGGCCATGCCCTAGGAAAGGTTGTGATTACAAGAAATAATAAGGAGGTAGAAGTGATGTGACTAGGTACTGATATCTGCATGTAAGTAGGATTATTTATGATTAGGATAAAGGAAATGAATAACAAATTTTCCCTCAGTGTTGGTAGTTTTCTGTCTTGCATTATGTGAGTTTGGGACAAGGTCTGAACAGGTGTGCCTTATGCTGTGAGATCATTGAAAGGCACTCAAAGACACAAGTTTGCCTCATGAGATGAAGGACTTAATTGTTGTCTAGTGGTTTTATTGCTCTGAAGGAAACATGAGGGTTGAGGGACAGACAATAATTTTCATTGATTGATTGACCCTCTTTAAGGAACATCAGTCACTTAAATTCCTAGAATTTGGTTATGACTTTTATTTTTTCTTTTCTGTTTTACGTACAGAGTGGAGAAGAACATAAGGTTTCTTTGACTGAGTTTATTTCTTTTCTCAATTCACTGTGTCAGGCAAATAAAATACAAAGAATGAGACAAAAAAGAGCGGCTCCCATAGACAGAAAAAGACAAATGAACACAGAGAAAAGACTACCTGTAGAGATACAGAGGGCCAAAGAGTAAACACACACAGAGATACAGACTCACAAACAAAAACACATAAAGACAGGGAAAGACACAATCATAGAGAGAAATACACAGATATACTACACATCCAGAGGGAGACACAGAGACAATAGACAAAGGGTCACACACAGATTCAAAGATATGCAGAGGGAAATGAAAGACAAAAAAAAAAAAAAAAAACAAACACCAAAGAAGACTCCCAGAGACACATCCACATAGAGACACACACACAGGCACACAGAAAGACTCATGGAGCAATAGAGATACGCACAGAGAAGCACACAAAGGGCAGAGGCAACACAAATATTGAATCATACATGAAGAGATACCCCAGGAAGAGACACATGGAGAGACACAAATACAGAATCTCCTATATTTTGTAGGAGTGGCCTTTATCACAGGTATTGATATCTGAACTTGTGTTGTTTTGAACAGTCCATAAAACTGTGCATTCCAAGACTGCACTAATACCTGCCTTATCAGAATCACCAGGGCTGAAACTAGAAACGTGTTGTTTCTAAAAACTGCATAGATATTTCTGTTATGTACCCTTAGCTGGAAGCATCTCTTATATCGTAAGGAAAATGGATATGCTGCAGTCAAGAATCGGCCAAGTCAGACACCCAGTCCTACATGACTCAGCGAGTTTGGAGCACAGGTACACAACTCTGCTCATTATGTAACCACTCCATGTGAGGCACATTAGGTAATAACCCAGGTGAGCTCATGCTTGACTCAGAGCCCCTATTGACTGTAAAAGATGTAATTATCCTGATAACGTTGTACATATGGTTTGTGCACACAGCTCGTGCCCAGGAGCCCTCGCACCCAGAGAGAGAGAGAGTAAAGCCATGTCAAAACTGTCCGCTATTCCTCCAGTGTTTTTCCAGCTACCGCCACTCACCCATCAACTCCCCTCAGACCTCAGTTAGAACCTGATGTATATTAAGCCTTCAACCCTCCTAAAGTAGTGTGCATGCCAATCTTTCCCTTACAACTGAATGAGCCTTACTAATACACTGGAACATGGTGCTTTTTCGAAAATTAAGTTTGTTACTTTTGCCAATTTTAGGATTTTTTGGCCAAATTAATTTGTAATATTTAATTATTTTCTACTTACACTTTCAATTTTATATATTTTAGCTAATATTTTAGGTTTCCTGGTTTTAACCTTGTCTACTATTATTATTTTTGTTCACATTCTTTTAAAATATTTTGCATTTTATTTATCTTAATCCTTAGGTTAGCTGTTTTTATTTTCAGGAGTTAATTATTAAATTATTAGAATGTCTTTCATGGCAAGCAATGGAAAAGTCAAATCAAACTGGCTTAACCAATAAGAACATTTTAGAACTCTTGTATATGCAAGTCCATAGGTCAGATGAGCTTTAGGATTTACTTAATCTAAGGACTCTGTCTTTATTTTCCCTGTGATTCTTAGGGAGGAGAGAGAGCAGATGACATCTCTATGTACTAGCTTCATCCGCAGGCTGGTAATCAGGTGGCTATAGTTGTCATAGTATATTTCCCAATGGCCAGCAGGAGAGAGCTCTCCTAAGATTTCCCCTTAAGAATAAGAAAAAGTTTCTCAGAATCCTTTTTTCAAAATTCCCCTTACATTTCAATGATCCACATCTGGTTTTGTGTCCTTTCCAGAACCAATCTCTGTTGACAAGGAGTTCCCAATTCTGCTTAACATACACTTGGATTCCTAAACCAATCACTGACTGGGAGATGTCATTTTCTTAGTTGACTTAACCTAATTAGATCTGGAACCAACGTCCCAAATCACATGGTTGCTACAAATCAGCAGGGTAGATACCAGAAGGAAAATTAGGATGTTAGCAGGGAAAAGAAAAAGGTAAAACAGCTGCTGGTTATGCAACCAGTAATATCCATCATCATTATCATCACCATCATTCATCATCTTCATCATCACTATTATCTTTACCTTCATTTTTCCATTGGTCTCAACACAAACAAAAATCACAGGTGTAAAATGCTTTCATTTGTTTCAATTTTTTAAATTAAAATGACAGCTCTATCCTGGGTTTACTTTTTGTTTTAACTAGGAAATTGAGTGATATGGTAAACCATTTTCTCTCTGTGAAATCTGCTCTGATTCTTAGCCAACAGGCAAAGTTAATGGTTCTTCTATAATACTTCCTTCATGTTTTTGGCTTAGTGCTTATCAATTTATATTAGATTATAACAGATCATCATGTTACAGGTGGAATGGGGCATTCATTGTCGAAGCCCCAAAACCTATTATAATGCCTGGAATACATTAGGTACACAATTAACATTTACCAAATTGACTTAAATATCAGGCAATTGGAATGTTTATGGAGCACATTCACTGAAATAAAATATATTGCAAAGGATAATTCCAGATCATGATGATTTTGAAGAAAACTGCATAAGTGCTATATTTCTCTGCCTTAAGCAACTTTAGAAAAATACACTCTCCAGATTTTGACAATTTAATATAAAAGCCTACCAAAAAATCGTATATTGAGAAATAGCTTTAAGTTACAAGAATAATATGCTGGGACAGGAATGTGTTGTGATAACTATTACAAATCCTGAGCCAATAAACTATGATTTTTGGATTCTCACATAATGTCTCAGATGCATTTTTAAAACTTTTTATTAAAACACCTCTCAAAATGTCAGTGAGACATGGAAGATGGCTCTGAGAATCTGCTTATCAACTTATGAGCAGAAGTTGAGGAAATTATTTTGAAAAAATGCATATGATACATTTATAATTATATCTGTATATATACATATATGTATATATTAGCATGTAATATTTCAGTACAGTGTAATAGAAAACACTAAGTTATGTATAAGCAAAGACTGATAATTATCTCCTAATTCTCACAATTATAAAATTAGAGTTTAAGACTGATTTTATGAAGCAGAAAATCTTAAAGACAACTTCAAGTAGAATTATAAATAAAGCACGACCCTCTTGGACTAGATGCTGTGGAGTGGCCACTCCATTTCTATCCCACCTGCCTTCCATGGTAACTTTCTATACAGATCCCAGAGAGGAAAGCAATGCATTTTCCAGATTCCTTCACAGCTAGAGTTTTGGGTAAAAATTCTCACTAATCAAGTAAAAGTACAGAAACTTTGGAAAGCAGAAGTGAATTAAAGATTATGTCTGGCCCATTTTACTGTTTTAGCTGTTGGCAATCAAGGTTGTAGAGATACGGCTTTCCTGCATCAGCAGTCCAGTGTCCATTCCCCAGTTTCTCAGACAATTGTGGTGGTGATGCTAGCAGTAGCAGCAGCAGTAAGGTTGGTGGTAATTCCTGATTTCCACTCCTATACCTTGGATATCAGCTCAAACACTATATTCTTAAGCTCAATATTTCCAAAGTGACTTAAAAGATAATAGCTCCTTTGATGGAACGATTCTTTCATGTTCAAGAAATAATTCCTGGAGGCCCAGGAGAATTTGTTTCTCTAGATGTCCTAACAATTTTGTAGCAAATACCTTCCTGCTTTCTATTTAAAACATAGATGCTGTTAGAATATGCCTATCAAAACAAGAAAAGTTTAGAGCAAAAAAAATTGTAGGAAACAGGAAAAAAAAAATGTACAGAATTAGAAAATATTAAATAAAATAACAAAAATAAGATCAAACATAGGAGTTATGCTAATAAATAAAATATCTAAGTTATTTCCTGCTTTTTAAATGAAAAACACTACTGTAATGTGTCAAGTTAGTGCATAAATGTTGATGATTATAAGAAACCTACCTATAGCTATGAAACAAAAATGGCAAATACAGAATAATTAGCAAAAATATATTTGATAAATTAAAAAGAAAAAAGGTTGCTTGCTTTCTTGCAGTGGTTCAGTGTTTACATCAGAGAAAATAAAATTCAATTTTAAAAACATTAAATAGAAAAAAATTATATCCTCAATGAAAATGAGTCATAAACATTTATGTTCCAAGTAACATTGATTTTAAAAATGTGGAGTCATGTTTTATGAAAATCCAAATCTTTAAAACTCTGCAACAACAACTCAATACCATGCTGAAGTCAGACGTCAGGAAACAAAGTTTCAAAATGAACAAAGTTGGTCTCTTCCCTAACATCCTTTCCTTCTTTATACCCCTGTCCCTAGTCATCAATTCAACTTTGTTAAATCAAAGTTATTCTAACATAACATAAAGTGAAATTCAAACATTGAAAAAAAATGTGTCATTCATGAAGTGGATGAAAGTACTATTGGAGACCTGCTGAAATCTCACCAAAAGACAGTGTCTTAAGAGACTCTTCTAGAATGAGACGAATTTCAACAGTCATAATATGACAGATGCTACAAAAGAGAATGATTTGAAAGTTGAAGGACTAAAGGAGGCCCTTGGGGAAATTGGCAAAGCCCTGAAATATTATCTTTTTTCTGATATTATTGCCAATGGCAATGCCCAGGGAAGGCTGTTACATTGTGCTATTGCCAAGAAAATTAAGTCTATCTCAGACTCAGGATGATTTTTTCTTTCTTTTTTCACTTTTTGTAATACAGTTCCACCTCCATGTACAAAGAGACTATGTTCTTTGTAACATAGCCTATGATGAACGGATTTCATTTTTTTAAATCAAATTGCTTCATAATTTTCAACTTTTTGTTTTTCAATATAAGTATTAATCAAAATATTGATTCTCAATACCCTATGAAATTTTGGTTCTGATTTCAAGTGGTTGCAATTTAAGTAGTCTTTTCCTAGTATCAGGCATTCCTAGGTAATTATGACCGTTT
Organism: Homo sapiens; assembly: GCF_000001405.40. NCBI lineage: Eukaryota > Metazoa > Chordata > Mammalia > Primates > Hominidae > Homo > Homo sapiens. The sequence continues at coordinate 31,795,016 of NC_000009.12, forward strand.
ATCTGGTAAAGTAAAATCTGTTAAATATACAAATAAAAAATGACAGAAACACAGATGTAACTGTATACCTAAATAGGTATATAAAGTACTATAATAACATAATTTATAAATGTAAAAAATATATGTTTTCAAAAACTTTGTTTTGTTTTGAGTTTTACAAAGTAAACTTCAGAGATCACATTATTAAAAAATGAACTGCAATCAAAATGCTCAAGTGAATTGTTCAACTTAATTCTCTAAGTTTAATTAAGACTTCATATGGTTTAAATAACAGGTATCTTTAAGAAAAATTTAGTTTATTTATTATTGAATCTATCAGCTGATGTAATTTTTAAAACTATATTAATGTTCACATTGTTTAATAACTCATTTAGTTGTCTGAACATTTTAAAGCATCTGAAAAAGCACAAGCAAAGACCTTTCAATGCAGAAAATACTATTTTAAATATTAAATTAGAATTATATTATTTTCTTAAAATAAGAGAAGCGGAATAAATGATGTCTTCTGTATGATCAAGGCAAGAAATAACATTATTTTGAAACTTATCTCTTTCATTTTTAACTAACTAAATAGCACTATTTGGCTTAGAAGCTCCTTATGATTGTTAAAATTTTAAAAAAATGTGTTATTTTTCCATGACTTTGTTATACATCTGTCTTTATTATATTCACAAGAAACAGAAATGATATCTTCATTTTAAGTTTCCACAACATAACTTCAAAACATTTCAAAAACCAGAAAAAGCGGAAGCCTCATTCTATAACTTCAGTGATCTAAGTAAAGATAAATAACACAATTTGCAAACTGAATTTGGGAGGACTGCTGTCAGCACAATGCAGATTAGGAAGCTCCAGGTTATGGTTCTCCCAGGAAAACATAAAAACAGTATGGTCCTGACAAAAAGACAGACAAAACAACCAACAGAATAAAATGGAGCTCAGAAAGAAACCTTTGTATATATTGTAAAATGATTTTCAACAAGGATTCCAAGACCATTCAATGGGGAAAGGACAGTCGTTTCAGTTGAACCCTTATACTATTTAAAAAAAAAACTCAAAATAAATCAAAATAACTCAAAGTGGATCAAAGGCCTAAACACTAATAACTAGAACTATAAAACTCTTAGAAGAACACAGAGGAGAAAGAAACTTCATGACGGTGGGTTTAGTGGATTTCTTGGATCTGAAACCAAAAGCACAGGCAACAAAAGAAAATAGATAAGTTGGATTTCATCAAATTTAAAACTTTTGTGCATCAAAAACGTTACCGACAGAATAAAGAGGCAACCCACAGAATAAGAGAAAATATTGGCAAATCATATATTGATAAGAAATTTATATCTAGAATATATAAAGAACTTCTACAACTCGAAAGTAACAACAACAAAAAAAACTTGATTAAAAAATGAAGAAAAGACTTGGATAGACATTTTTCCAAAGAAGGTATCCAAATTTATATCTCCAGACAATATATGCAGGTGGCCAAAAAACACACACAAAAAATGTTTAACACTACTAATTTTTAGGGAAATTTAAATGAAAACCCCAATGAGATACCACTTTACATTCATTAGGATGGCTATTACAAAAAAAAAAAAAAACATAGAAAATCACAGTTGTTGGTGAGGATATAAAGAAATTGGAAACTTTATACATTTTTGGTAAGAATATAAAATATTCCAGCCACTGTAGAAGATGTTATGGCAATTCTTCAAAAAAAATTAAACATCAAATTAACATATGACCCAGCACACTATTTCTGGTTATATACTCAAAAGAATTGAAACAGAGTCTTGAATAGATTATTATACATTCATGCTCATGGCAGCATTACTCACAATTGCCAAAAGATAGAAGCAATCCAAGTGTCCATCAACAGATAAATGGATAAACAAAAAGTGGTAGAAACACAAAATGGAATATTATTCAGCCTTTAAAAAGAGAAAGATTCTGACACATGCTACAACATGCATAAACTTTGAAGGCATTATGCTAAATGAAATAAATCAGTCATGAAAAGACAAATATTATATGATTCTACTTACATGAGGTGTCTAGAATATTTATAGAATCAGAAAGTAGAGTGGTGTGATTGCCAGGGATTGTGGGGTGTAGAGAATGGGGAGTTAATGTTTAATAGATACAGAGTTTCAGATGAGAAAAATGAAAGCATTCTGGAGATGGATGATGATCACGGTTGCACAATAATGTGAATGTACTTAATACCACAAAACTGTACCCTTAAAATGGTTTATAAGGTAAACTTTATGCTATATATATTTTACCAAAACAAAATATTACTTAGAAATGTAAAAAGGATGCTGGGCACAGTGGCTCATACCTGTAATCACAGGTCTTAGGGAGGCAGAGGTGGGAGGATAGCTTGAGGTCAGGAATTTGAGACCTGCCATGGCAATATACCAAGACTCCATTCTCCACAAAAAGAAAAAAAAAGATAAAAAGATAAAAAAGAGAAATGTAAAAAGGAAAACAGATAAAGCTCTTAACTCTTGAATAAGAAATTAAAGAATAATAAAAAATAGCCAGAAAATGAAGGCAATGGGGAAAGAAATCTGTGGGATGCAGCCAAAAAGAAAATTTGAGAGTTTTAAATGTCTTTGAATTAAACAAAAAAATTAGAGTAATTATATATTTACCTTAAAATTATAAAATGTGTATATAACTCTTAACAAAACAGAATAAAGAATTAATAAAATTACAAACCAAAATTAATGACAACAGAATATTGGTAGAATTAATGAACTCATCCAAGACATTTCTCTGAAAAGGCCAGTAAGATAAATCTTTGGCAAAGCAACTAAAATAACTTAAAAAATAGAAAAAGTGGTATTACATATTTCTCATTATGAATGAAACCTGAGAATGTATATCAATGTAGACCAAAAATGTTGAATATTTCACAAAATGTTTCACAATATTATTCACAACATTATGTTGCATATAATACATATAACATTTTAAAATATTATATATGACTCTGAGATAGGAAATATAAAAATATTTGTCAATAAGCATCATTGAATATACAGCATTCTTAAGGGATACTCTTTTTTAAACCCAAAAAAGTGCTAAGGGTTTTTTCCCCTATTTTTTCTTACTGTTTTATATCTACTATTATAAATTGCTCCATGAATATCAAATCTCTAAATCAAATAGGATCTGACTCTGAGCCCTCTAATAATTTTGAAAAGTGGGAAGAGTGGGGCGGAGAGTAATTTTTTTTTCCAAGTGAGTTTTAACCAACATGACCTTAACGTCCCACAACAGCTTGGCAGAATGTTAGTCAGGTTTCCTCCTGACTATGGCTCCCCAAACTCTTTTTTCTTAGAGCATTTTATGTAGAAAACATCACAGATACTTAATTTGCCCCTTCAAGATATAAGTTTTCTCACAGCTTCTTGCCAATATTACAAACCACGAACACATTTTTCAAGGAGCTGAAAAAGCATCATTTTAAAATGTTGTCACTAAGAGAAATAAGAACCCCTATCTTTCAGTCTCTATAGGAAGGTAAGAACCTAAATTCCATGAGCACCAATTAGCAAATACAGATGGCCTAATCACATATGATAAACTTCCTTCTTGACATTCTCCCCTATTGGAATAGTCTTGAATAAAGTCTTTATTTAATTCTGTCCTCCAAATTTTTCTTTGACGATCTACAGCAGGAAACAAGTTCCATGACACAGCAACATAATAAGAACTAGAAAACGCTAATTACCATTGTAACTTACCATAAGGTAACTTGATTTTTGTTTCATGTAACTTTTTAAAAGGAGAATTTGAGACAATATGGGTAAATATATTGGGATTGTTGATTCTCAGATATGTTCTTCTAGATTCTTGGTTTAAAAGCACAGATTATTTAAAACTTACTTAAAACTAAGAAAAAAAGAGAAATGAATGAAGAAAAAAGAATTACAACTCCAATATCTGATAACAGAAGAATTATTTGGCATCTGTAGGTCAAGAGTATTTAGAAGGCGAAGAAAATTTCATCAAATAAAGGAGAGTCGAGCAAGAATGTTTACACATGAAATGTAAATACTATTTTAAGAAGAATTTTATTATTGTAGGAATCATTAATTCTTATAATACCAAACTGGATAAAACATTTTATAGCAATATATAGTTGCCTATTTCTACTGTATTAAGTAGTGATATAACAAAACAACAAAAAAAGACTTCCCAGTCTCTTTCATTAAAATGAAAATTGCATTGAATCTAAATCAGAAAGGTTTTGCATAAATTTGTAAATCAGATATTTGGGCATGTAAGGAAGAATCTAAATATCTTAATATGCATTGTGTCCACCAACTCCTGGGTTCTGCCTGTTTATATTAAACCTTATTTTTAACATGAAAATTGATTGAAAAATGTAACCCAAACAAGTGAATATATTAGCATACGGTAAAACAAATGTCCTAGTTTGAACACAGTTCTGTAGTCTACATCTACGTAAAATACAGCACCTAAATGTCAAAAATATTTCTGAAAGTTAAAGAAATGAGAACCAAATGGCAGAGTAGAAGTGAGTTGGCTTCACTCCTCCACCCACAGAAAACCAAAAACAAATATATAGTGCTGAGATTATCACCAGCAATATTCCAGAACTCAAATATGAAAATGAGACAGTTGTGGGAGCCAAAGAAAGGTTAAAAAAAATTCATGCAGACTGTAAGAGAATCAAACTTTTGATCCACAACACCCTTCCCCCAATCTGCTAGGCCCCAAGAGTGCAGAAAATTTTCCCCTGACTCACAGTTACTATACTAAAAAAAAAAAATTGAGATAGAGATGGACAACCAGCTTACCCACCATGTTGAATTTGCTGGCAAAAGGCCTGTCCCTGCCTCAACTGACAGAAAGCCTCACAAGTGCCTAAAGGGATAAAAATTCCTGATGACAGCTGGAGACAAAGGGGAGGTGGGATTACTGTCTCCAAACTGGAAAACACTGCTCTATATCTCAGCCAAAGAAACCACCAAATCAGAGTAGCTGTTCAGCAGCACCATGCTATAGGCACTATGTTACACAAGTCCCCCGAACATAAACCCCTAATCAGCCTTTCCACACTGCCAGGATATTCCCTTTGGGACCTCCCCAATTCAGGATGAACAGCACTTTGAAATTTACTGGAGCAGAGGCAAACCTGAACTTAAAGTGCCATCTAGTGCTAAAAACAAGGCAGTGACTTAGCAAAAAAGACATTAAATGGTGAGTTGCAATGGTATGTTGCAAAGAAATTGCTAAGCAAACATAACTAATAAAAAGAAAAACAAGATAGAGAACACTAGAATAAATAACTTATACCTGCATAGAATAAATAACATATCCCTGCATGTGAAGGCATAGATTTCTATCCACAATAAACAATAACAAGCAGAGAACTGTGATCTCTCAAAGTAGACAAAGCAAGAAACCAGAGACAGACTATAATGAGGTGGTGACAGGCAAGCTCTCTCGTCAAGAATTCAAAATAGAAACTTTAAGAAAATTCAGTGATCTCTAAAATTACACAGAAAAGCAACTCAGAAATCTATCAGAGAAATTTAACAGAGGTTTAAATAAAATAATTTAAAAATCCTGGATATAAGAAATATATTTGCTATACTGAAAAATTTCTTAGAAGATCTCAAAAAGCAGACTGGATCAAGCAAACAATCAGTTAACTCAAAGACAAGCTATTGGAAAATACACAGTCAGAGGAAAGAAAAGAAAAAAGTGGAAAGGAATGAGGAATGCCTACAAGATATAGACAATTACCTCAAAAGAGCAAATCTAAGAATTATTGTTGTTCAAGTGGGATTGGAGTAAGAGCAAAGGGGAGAAAGCTTGTTTAAAGAAATAATAATAGAACACTTTTTGAAACTTAAGAAAGTTATAAACCTACAGGAAGACCATAGGTCACCAAATAAATTAAACCCAAATGAGACTAATCTAAGGCATATAATAATCAAACTCTCAAAAATCAAGAACAAAGAGAGAATCTTAAAAGCAGCAAGAGGAGAGAGGCAAATAACATATAAAGGAGATCCAATTCATCTGACAACAGACTTCTCAACAACAACTATACAGGCCAGGAGGGAGTGGGATGAAATATTCAAAGTGCTGGAAGCACAATCAAACACTGCCAACTGAGAATTTTGGACCCTACAAAAATACACTTCAAAGATGGAAGAGAAATAAAGTCTTTTTCAGACAAACAAAAGCTGAGGGAATTCATAACCACCAGACTCATCTTACAAGAAATGCTCAAGGGAATTCTTCATTCTCAAAGACAAAAACACTAATGTGCAAAAAGAAAAGATTTGAAGGTGTGAAACCCACTGGTAAAAGTAAGTATGCAAAGAAATTCAAAATAGGCTGACACTGTAATTATGATATGAAATCCAGGCATAAATCTAGTGTAAGGACTAAAGGACTATGCAAAGAGACTTGTGGCATTTAACCCCTGCCCTAGAGGTCTATGGAACTTTGAACTTGAGAGAGATGATTTAGGGTATCTGGCAAAATAAATTTCTAAGTGTCAAAGTATTCAAGAGGAAGCAGAGCATAAAAGTTTGGAAAATTTGCATGATGTGGTAGAAAAGAAAACTCCATCTTCTGGGGAGAAATTCAAGGCAGCTGCAGAAATTTGCATAAGTAATGAGGAACCAAATGTTAGTCATCAAGACAATGGGGAAAATGTCTCCAGACCATGTCAGAGATCTTCATGACAACTCCACCCATCACAGGTCCGGAGGGCTAGAAGGGACAAATGGTTTCCTGGGCTGAGTTCAGGGACCCTCTGCTGTGTGCAGCCTTGGGACTTGGTGCCCTGTGTCCCAGGCACTTCAGCTGTCACTAAAAGAGACAAACCTACAGCTCAGGCCTTTGCTTCAGAGGGTACAAGCTCCAAGTCTTGGTGTCTTACCCATGATGTTGGACCTGCGGGTGCACAGAAGTCAAGAATTGAGGTTTGGGAACCTCCACATAGATTTTAGAGGATGTATGGAAATGCCTGGATGTCCAGGCAGAGGGGTGCTGCAGGGGCAAAGCCCTCATGGAGAACCTCTGCTAGGGCAGTGCTGAAGGAAACTGTGGGGTGGGAGCCCACACACAGAGTCCCCACTGAGGCACTGCCTAGTGGAGCTGTGAGAAGAGGACTGCTGTCCTCCAGACCCCAGAATGGTAGATCCACTGAAAGCCTGAACTATGCACCTGAAAAAGCCACACTCAGTGAGAGCCCTTGAAAACAGCCAGGAAGGGGGCTGTACCCTGCAAAGCCACAGGGGAAGAGCTGCCCAAGACCATGGGAACCTACCTTTGCTTCAGCGTGATCGGGATGTGAGACATGGAGTCAAAGGAGATCATTTTGGAGCTTTAAGGTTTAATGACTACCCTGCTGGGTTTTGGATTTGCATGGGGCCTGTGGACTCTTCGTTTTGACCAATTTCCCCTATTTGGAATGGGTATCTTTACCCAATGCTTGTACCTCCCTTGTGTTTAGGAAGTAACTAACTTGCTATTGATTTTACAGGCTCATAGGTGGAAGGGACTGGCCTTGTCTCAGATGAGACTTTGGACTTGGACTTTTGAGTTAATGCTGGAATGAGTTAAGACTTTGGGGGACTGTTGGGAGGACATGATTGTGTTTTGAATTGTGAGGACTGAGATTTGGGAGGGGCCAGGTGTGGAATAATATGGTTAGGCTTTGTGTCCCCACCCAATTTTCATCTTGAATTGTAGCTCCCATAATCTCCATGTGTCATGAAAAGGACCCAGTGGGAAGTAATTGAATCATTGGGGCAGATTTTTCCCATGCTGTTCACTTGAAGCCTCATGAGATCTGATTTTACAATCATTTCATAAAGGACAGTTCGCTTGTATATGCTCTCTTGCCTGCTGCCATTTAAGACGTGCCTTTGCTCCTCCTTTGCCTTCCACCATAGTGGTGAGGCCTCCCCAGCTATGTGGAACTGTGAGTCCATTAAATTGTTCTTTATAAATTACCCAGTCTCAGGTATGTCTTTATTAGCGGCATGAGAATGGACTAATACAGTTGTCACCAGTTTAAAGTAATTTGTTATATCTATAACATAGTTTTATAAGCCTCATGATAACCGTAAAACAAAAACTTATAATAAATACACTAAAAAAAGCAATGAATTAAATCATACTCCCAGAGAAAACCACTTAATCACAAAGGAAGAAATGAAGAAAGAAGAGTTACTAAACAACCAGAAAGCAAGTAACAAAATGATAGTAGTAATTCTGTACTTATCAGTAATAATATTGAATGTAAATGAATTCAGTTCTCCAAGTAAAACACATAGAATGGCTAAATGGATAAAGAAACAAGATCCAACTATATGCTGCCTCACCTCTAAAGACACATAGACTGAAAGTGAAGGGGTGGAGACAGCTATTTTTAATGCAGCCTAAAACCAGATGAGAACAGGAGTAGCTATATTTTTATCAGTTAAATAGATCACAAACCTAAGATTGTAAAAATACATAAAGAAAGTCACTATGTAATGATAAAGGGCTCAATTCAGCAAGAGGATACAACAATAATAAATATCTCTGCACTCAACTCCAGAGCTCTCAAATATGTAAGGCAAATATTAACATATCTAAAGGGAGTGATAGACTGAAATACAATAGTTAGGGACTTCAAAACCCTACTCTCACTGATGGACAGATAATCCAGACAGAAATCTGTAAGAAACGTCAGGGTTAAACTACATGCTAGACAACATTAGGCCTGACATTTACAGAGCATTTTATCCAACTGTGGCAGAATACACATTTTTCTTATCATCACATGAACGTTCTTTAAAATAAAATTATTTAAAGCCACAAAACAAATCTTGACACTTGTTTCACACTTCAAGCCTTGATTACTACTTTTCAGAAAAGTAAAACTTACATCAAATATCTTTTCTGAGCACAATGAAATGAAACTAGAAATCAATAACAAGAGGAACCTTAGAAACTACACAAACACATAGAAATTAACATGCTCCTGAACAATCAATGGATCAATGAAGATATTAAGAAGGAAATTTAAACTTTGTTGAAACAAATGAAAGTAGAAATAAAACATACCAAAATCTATAGGGTACAGCAAAAGTGGTACTAAGAGTGAAGTTTATAGCAATAAATGCCTATCTCAAACAAGTAGAATACTTCAAATTAACAACCTAAAATTACACCTCAAGGAACTAGTAAAATAAGAACAAACAAAACCAAAGTTAGAAGGAAAGAAATAATAAAGATCAGAGCAGATATAAATAAAATTGAGACTAAAATAATATAAAATTTCAACAAAAATAAAGTCTGTTTTTTGAAAAGATAAACAAAGGCTGAGCATCTTGGCTCATGCCTGTAATCTCAGCACTTTGGGAGGCCAAAGTGAGAGGATCACTTGAGCTTAGGAGTTCAAAAACAACCTGAACAATATGGTGAAACCTCATCTCTACAAAAGACACAAAAGTTAGGCAGGTGTGGTGGTGCACACCTGTAGTCCAAGCTACTTGGAATTTTGAAGCAGAAGGATCACTTGAGCCCTGGAGGTGCAGGTTGCAATAAGCCAAGATCATGCCTTTTCACTACTCCAGCCTAGGTGACACAGCAAGATTCTGTCTCAAAAAATAATAATAACAATAATAAGATAAAATCAACCAAGCTTTTGCTAGATTAAAAAAAAGACCCTAACAAATAAAACGAAAAATAAAAAAGAACACGTAAGACAAAGACCATGGTAATATCAAGAATCACTGGAGAGCATTATAAACAACTATACACCAACAAATTGGAAAACTTACAGGAAATGAATAAATTCCTGGACATGTACAATTTAGAAATAGCACATACAAATAGAAAACCTGAACAAACCAATAACTAGTAAGAGTAATGATATTAAAACCATAATAAAATATCTTCCATTAAAAAAAGCCCAGGACATCATAGCTTCACTGCTGAGTTCTATAAAACATTTCAAGAAATGATACCCATTCTACTCAAACTTTTCAAAAAAAAAAAAACAGAAGGGGAGGGAATACTTCTAAACTCATTCTATGAATCCAGAGTTACTCTGATACCAAAACCAATCAAGGACACAACAAAGAAAGAAAACTACAGGCCAATATGCCTGATGAACATTGATGCAAAACCTTAACAAAATACTAGCAAACCAAATTCAATAACGCATTAAAAAATTAGTCACCATAATCAAATGAGATTCATCCCAGAAATGCCAGGAGGACACACCATACACAAATCAATAAATGTGATATACCACATTAACAGAAGCAAAAACAAAAACCATTTGATCATTTTAATAGATTCTGAATAAATATTTGACAAAATTCAACATCTCCTCATGATTAAAAAAAAAAACCCCACTCAACAAACAGGGTATAGAAGGAACATACCTCAAAACAATAAAAACCGTATATGACAAACCCCCAGCTAATATCATACTGAATAGGGAAAAATTGTAAGCCTTTATTCTAAGATCTGGAACAAGACAAGGATGCTCACTTGCACCAGCTTTGTTCAACATAAAACTTACATAGTTGTTAGAAAAAAAATTTTTAAAGTATTGTAAGAAAAATACAACTACCAAAATTGACATAAGAAAAAATGAAAAATCTGAAGCGTCCTAAACTGTTTTAAAAAATAAATGTATAAATTAAAAAAAAAAACTTACCACAAAGAAAACTGCAGGTCCAGATTGCTCACCAGAAAATTGCAGCAAATGCCTAAGTAAGAATTAGTGCAAATCTCAGTTCTAGCCAGAGCTCTCTGACAAGAGAATGAAAGAGCATTCAAATTGGAAAGGAAAAAGTCAAATTAGCTTTGTTTGCAGATGACATGACCTTATTTTGAGAAAACCCTGAATACTTTACCAAAAACTGTTAGAATGAATAAATGAATTCAGTAAAGTTACAGAATACAAAATCAACATATGAAAATCAGTAGCATTTCTATAGACCAACAGGAAGCAATCTGAAAAATAAATCAAGAATGTGATCCTATTTACAATAGCTACAAAATATATGAAGCTTCAGATTTCTACAAGCAAAATTATAAAACTCTGATGAAAAAAACTGAAGAGGATGCAAAAATGGTATGATGTTCCAAGCTCATGGATTGGAAGAATATTGTTAAAATATCAATACTATCCAAACTAATCTGTACAAAGCCATTCTTCACAGAAATAGAGGAAACATTCTAAAAATGTACATGAAACCACAAAAGACCTCAAATAATCAAATAAATCCTGAGCAAAAGGAAAAGCTGGAGGCATCACACTACCTGAATTCAAAATACACAGTGCTGTAGTAACCAAAACAGCATGGTGCTGACAGAAAAACAGAAACATAGTTCAGTGGAACACAATACAGAACCCAAAAATAAATCTATGCATTTACAACCAACTCATTTTCAACAAAGTGACCAAGAACATGCCTTGAGGAAAGGACAGTCTCTTCAATAAATGGTGTCAGGAAAACTAGATAATCACCTGCAAAAGAATAAGACTTGACCCCTATCTCTCACCACATACAAAAATAAATCAAAATGGATTCAAGAATTAAACCTAAGACATGAAACTATTAGAAGAAAACATTGGGAAAATAATTCAAGACATTGGTCTGGGCACAGATTTTTTTAGTAAAACCTCAAAAGCACCAGCAACAGAAGCAAAAATAGGCAAATGGGATTAAATCAAGCTAAAAAGCATCTGCACTACAGGGGAAACAATCAGCAAAGTGAAGAGACAACCCAAGGAGTGTGAGAAAATATTTGCAAACTATCCATCTGACAAGGGATTAATAATAATAATATATAAGTAACACAAAAATACTCACAAAAAAATCCTACTTTAAATGAGCAAAATACCTTAATAAACATTTCTCAGAGGAAGACATACAAATGACAAAAAGTCTATGGAAAAAAAAATGCTCAAAATCACTAATCTCAGAGAAATGCAAATCAAAACCACAATGAAATATCATTTCACCCCAGATAAAATGACTTTTATCAAAAAGACAAGAAACAACTAATGTTGGTGAGGATGTGAAGAAAAGGTAATGCTTGTATACTGTTGTTAGGAATATAAATTAGTACAGTCACTTTGGGAAACACTATGTAGGTTCCTGAAAAATCTATAAATAGTACTACCATATGACCTATTACCAATCCCACTACTGGGTATATATCCAAAAGAAAGAGAATTAATATATTGAAGAGATATCTGCTCTCACATTTTTATTACAACACTATTCACAATAGTCAAGATATAGAATCAACCTAAGCGTCAATCAACAGATGAATGGATGAAGAAACCGTGGTATATATACACAATGGAATATGATTAAATCAAAAAAAAAAAAAAATGAATGAAATCTTGTCATTTGCAGCAGTATGGATGGGATTGGAGGTCGTTATGTTAAGTAAAATAAGCCAAGCACGGAAAGACATATGTCATATGTTCTCACTCATATGTAGGAACAATTGAAATGGGAAAAGTTCCCTTGTCCCCCTCACAGAGCATGTGATGGGGGAGTGGCTCGCTTCTTCAGTGCCTCTTGCCTGGCTTTGGATCCTTCAGACCTGATTTTTCTTCCTAGTCCCTCAGCCTGAAGTTTTGAATCGAGTTTGAGATTGAAAAGGTAATTTTAGAGGCTGTTTGTATCTGTTTAGAGCGTCACAAGTGCCCTGCCAAATTTGCAGTTATCAGCCAGCAGGGGTTGCTCCTCCGTTAACTTCCCTATCAGAAACGGAGTGCTGGTAGCTGGGGAGTCCTCTCATTTAGAAAAAAAAGAGAGAGAGAGAGAGAAAGAAAAACAGTTTAAGGGGCAAAGTGGGGAGACCCTGGGGGAAGAACTTCTTGCTCAGTGAAAGTGGGCCCCTTTAATCCTTACATCTTTTCCCTGGTTCAGACCAGGTTAAATTCCTTAGCCAGGGAAGAAACAACCCGTTGGCGCAGTGGGTGAGAAGCAGCCCTCTGTTGGCCCTGTGGAATCGCGGCTACCGCTGTGGCTTTCTCCCACCCCGCCACGTGGCTGTTTGGTTTGGCCTTTGCGGGCTGCAGGCACGCCCAGTTGCCCGAGCTGGGAGGGGAAAAGATAAGGAGAGGTGTCCTGAACAGTGCGTGCCTGTGGCTGTCGAGGTGCAGGCATACATGGCTGCTTTTTAGTCTCTTGTTTTTGGGATTTGGCAAGAGTACCCTTACCTAGGTGGATGGTAAAGTTAGAGGTGGGCATAATTGGTCTGATTTGCATCTTTGGTGGCTGAGCCAAATTTTTTTTTTTTTTTTTTTTTTTTGAGATGGAGTCTCACTCTGTCGCCCAGGCTGGAGTGCAGCGGCGCGATGTCGCCTCACTGCAAGCTCTGCCTCCCGGGTTCACGCCATTCTCCTGCCTCAGCCTCCCCTGTAGCTGGGACTACAGGCGCCCGCCACCATGCCCGGCTAATTTTTTTGTATTTTTAGTAGAGATGGGGTTTCACCATTCACAGGATGGTCTCAATCTCCTGACCTCCTGATCCGCCCGCCTTGGCCTCCCAAAGTGCTGGGATTACAGGCGTGAGCCACCGCGCCCGGCCGCAAAATGCTCTTTTTACTTAGTAACTTTGTCATAGCCTGTAGCAAAATTTTTAACATTATAAAGGAAGAGATAAGGGCGATTTCAAACCCTGAGAGAGAGAAAAGAGGGAAGTGTGGGATTTTGACCAGCCTGATTAGGGCAGTTTAAAACTCCCTGAAGGGAAACAGCCTCTTACCCTCAGGAAAGAAAGGTGGCAGGGTTTTGTTAGAGAGACATACCCGACAATTTCGCATTCGTTCACACTCACCTTCTGCAATCCTAGACAAGCCCCAGTTGAAACTGGAAAAGTTCACTTGTCCCCCTCGCGTGCGACAGGGGAAGTGGCTTGCTTCTTCAGTGCCCCGCTGCTCAGACCTCTAGGGGAAGCATGCAGACGGGCAGGTTGTGGGGCTCTGACTCCACAGCAGCATCTAAGGTTGAATGTTTACAGCTCCTGAATCCCCAGTGGGTGTGTGTTACAGGCTACTCTTCTAGTTTTGCCATCCATAGGCGGCTTGTGTTAGTCAGCTCAGTTAGACCCCTTTCTTATTACAAAGACAGAGCGCTTTCTGTATCTCGCGGTTCTTGCTTTGGTGTACGGGAAGAATTGGATCACAAGTGGGCTTGGAGAATGAATGCAAGGTTTTAATGAGTGGAGGTAGCTCTCAGCAAAAGAAGGGAGATGGAATGGGAAGGTGGTTTTTCCCTGGAGTCGGGCCTGTCAGGGACCCCGACTCTCCTCTGACCGCCCCAGCCAAACTCCATGTAATTCCACTGGTCGGTGGCCTGACGGCCTGCTGGTGCCAGTTAGTGCTCTTCTGCCGAGATGCCCCTCTGGACATCCTCTCAACGTCCAGCCGCTTGTGTGTTCTTCCGCTGGTGTATTCCTCCTGACGTCCAGCCTCTTCTGTGCATGCGCGGTAGGGTCTCAAGGTTTTTATAGGCACAGGATGGAGGTGTGGCGGTCCAGGGTGGTCTTGGGAAATGCAACATTTGGACACGAAAACAGAAATGCCTGTCCTCACCTAGGTCCGCTGGCACAGGCCCAGGAGTGCAGCCCTAGCCAGGGACCCGACTTTTTCTACCCAGCACTTCCCTGCCCTCCTCCAGTATCACTATGAAAGTGGATTTTATGAAGATAGAGGGTAAATCAGTGATTACCAGAGGAAGGGAAGGGTAGGAATGAGAGGGGAATGAAGATAGATTGATTAATGAATACAAAGAAACAGTTAGATAGAAGAAACAAGATACAGTGTTTGATAAATCAGTACAGTGACTATAGCAAAAATAATCTATTGTACATTTCAAAATAACTAATAGAGAATAATTTGAATGTTCACAGGATAAAGAATAGATAACTGTTTCAGGTGATGGACATTCCAATTATTCTGATTTGGTTATTACACATTATATGAATATATCAAATATCAAAATATAACTCACATGTACCCTTAAAATATGTGCATCTATCACCTATCAGTAAAAAGAAAGAGAGAAAGAGAGAAAATGAGTTTTAAGTAATAAGCTCTAATTTTCTGTTTGGCAAAGATATTATAGTTTGCAAAGATTGGCAAGCTGTAGTTGCAGAGAAAGAGACCCAACCATGAGCTGTAGACAAGAGGAAAATCTGGTAAAACTGTAATGAAAATTTCTTGAAAATATCTATGAAAACCTTTAATGAACCCAGACTTTACCTAGAAAAGTATTAATGTGCGTGCTCCCCCATCTTCATCCCAGTACTTTTCATTAAAAGTACATTTTCTCAACACATTATGTCTGAAATGTAATGGAAATCTATGCAATCATTAAAATGAGGGATAATAAGAATATTTAATGACATACAAAATGTTCAAAATGTATTGTTAATAAAGCTGCAAGTGAGTAAAATAGTAGATGTTGTAATTTTTGGATAAAAACGCATGCTTAAATTATTGCAAATTCACATGTATCTCAAAATGCTAACAGTTGTTATCTGCCGGATAAATTATAGATAAGGCTTATTTTAGACTATATTGTATTTCTATAAGGAACTCATTGCTTTTATAGTCAGTCAACAATAATTAAAAAGAAAATACTGGGAAACAGTATAGAATTTTTAACTTTTTATTTTTGGATTTTAACTCTTATTTTCATCTTCTTTTTTAATACCTTTCCCAAAATTTGAACAGTATTTGCATTACTTTCATATCAGAAAATTTGTTTCAAAAATCACATAGGATTAACATTTCACACATTGTCATTACGCTACATGATGACCTTATTAAGTTTTTAGCATTCTTTTTCTGAATAATTTAAATAATGCAATTATATTTTTCTATTATGTTTTTATTGTCATTCATGGCTTAATTTGTTCCAGCTTATATGCCTTTGGGACATCATTTCTGAGCCTTTTTGCTCAGAGAAAGAGAATGAATAGGTCTGTGCTCTTTATAAATATAACTTAAATAATATATTTCTGTATCTCCATCCCTCCTTCCATCCTTTGACTATGATTTTGTCAGGTTGAATGATTTTTAAAAATACCTTCTATAAAATTAAATTCCCTATTGACCATTCAAACAATTAAGAGTGAATGTTAAGTACTTTTCACTTCTCTACATTCTAGCTAGATGATTATTTTCCTGTCACACTGAGTTTATATTCTCTCAACAAGATCCATGCTACAACCCAATGTCTTGGGAGTCATTAAGGGCCCTTGAAAAATTCAAGACTCTCCTTCTGGCATTTTGCAATTATAATACACAGGTGACACATGCTCACAGTTCTCCCTTTATCAAAGCTACAAGCCTAACCACCACTGCACAGAACAGACAGCAAATGTAAAAATTATTTTGATTCAAATTTGTTTCATACCATCTTGGTATTTTAAAATTTTTAATATTGATATAGCAAATAGACTATATTTAAAAATAGTTAACATACTAAATATATATGTATTTGGAAAGGGGAGAAGAGAAATATAGTAATCGCTCTGGAGGACTTTCACAGTGAAGAATGTTTGCAGTTGCAGAGCTGCAAATTTGGTGAGCCAAAGGTTCTCAGGTATTAACTATCAGTTCACCTTAATTTTTTTTAAATAATCCACAATTGTGTTAAAATTCCTTTCAAATCAGTGCAAGAATTATCAAACAAAATGTTGCAAAGATGCTTTTTATTTTCTTAATTTTGTAAGCAATCAGGTAGCTAAGTAGAAGACCTTATTTAATTCCCAAATCAGTGCAGGAATACCTTGGAGATACTGGGGGTTTAGTTCCAGACCACAATAAAGTACATATTGCAATAAAGCGAGTCACTTGAAGTTTTTGGTTTCAAAGTGCACATAAAAGTTATGTTTGTAGACTCTTCTGTAGTCTACAAAGTATGCAATAGCATTATGTCTATAAAAACAATGTAATACCGTAACTAAAAATAATTTATTATTAAAAGATGCTAATAATGATCTCAGGCTTGAGCAAGTCATAATCTTTTCACTGATGGAGGGTCTTGTTTTGACATTGACGGCTGACGTATCGGAGTGGTGGTTGATGAAAGCTGGGGTGGTTGTGGCAATTTTTAAAAATAAGACAATAATGATGTTTGCCATATCAATTGACTTTTCCCATTCATGTAAGATTTCTCTGAAGCATGCAATGATGTTTGATAGCATTTTACCAATAGAACTTCTTTCAAAATTGGGTATCAATCTTCCCAAATCTTGCTGCTGCTTTATCAACTAAGTTTATGTAATATTTTAAATTATTTATTTTCATTTAAATAATGTTCATAGCATCTTCACCAGGAGAAGATTCCATCTCAATAAACCACTTTCTTTGCTTATCTATAAGAAGCAACTCTTTATCCATTAAAATTTGATCCTGAGATTGCAGCAACTCAGTCACATCTTCAGGCTCCATTTTAAATTCTAGTTCTCTTGCTATTTCTACCATATTGGCAGTGACTTCCTCCACTGAAGCCTTGAGGCCTTCAAAGTCACCCCTGAGGGTTGGAGTCAACTTTTTCCAAACTCTCATGTTAATGTTGATATTTTGACCTCCTCCCATGAATTATGTATGTTCTAAATGGCATCTGGAGTGGTGAATCCTTTCCAGAGGTTTCCTTCAATTTACTTTTCTCATATTCATCAGAGAAATCACTATCTATGGCAGCTAAACTTATAAAATGATTTTTTTTTTTTTCAGAGATAAGGTCTCCCTCTGTCACCCAGGCTGGAGTGCAGTGTCACCATCACAGCTGCCTGGTACTCTTGAGTGTTCCTCCCACCTCAGTATCCCAAGTCACTGGGACTACAAGCATGCACCACTACGCCTGGCTACTATTTTTTATATTTTGTAGAAACAATCTTGCTTTGTTGCCCAGGCTGGTGTCAAACTTCTGGCTTCAAGTGATCCTTCTGACTCAGCCTCCCAAAGTGCTGGGATTACACACATGAGCCACACTGTTCCCAGCCTGAAATGTATTTCTTAAATAATAAGATGTAACAGTCAAAATTACTCCCTGATCCATGGACTCCAGGATGAATGTTATATTAGCAGGCATGTAAACAACATTAATCTCCTTGTACATCTCCATCAGAGCTCTTGGGTGTATTGTCAATCAGCAGTGATATTTTGAAAGGACTCTTTTTCTGAGCAGTAAGTCTCAACAGTAGGTTTAAAATATTCAGTACATGATGTTATAAACAGATATGCTGTCATTCAGGCTTTGTTGTTCAAACTTTACAGAGAACAGGTTAAGTAAATACAGCATAGTTCTTAAGGTCCCTAGTATTTTTAGAGTGGAAAATGAGCATTGGCTTCAACTTAAAGCCACTAGCTTAAGACCCTGATAAGAGAGTCAGCCTGTCCTTTGAAGTTTTAAACCAGGTCTTGACTTCTCCTCTCTTGCTATTGAACTTCTAGGTGGCATATTCTTCCAATATAAGGCTGTTTAATCTCCATTGAAAGTCTGTTGTTTCATGTACCTTTAGCAATGATCTTAACTAGATCTTCTGGATAATTTGCTGCAGCTTCTACATCAGAATTTGTTGCTTCACCTTGTACTTTTACATTATAGAGATAGATTATTTCCTTAAACCTCATGAACCAACTTCTGCTAGCTTGAAAATTTTTCTGCAGTTTCCTCACCTTTCTCAGCCTTCACAGAATTGAAGAGAGTTAAGACTTTGTTCTTGATTAGGTTTGAGCCTGAGGGAATGTTGTGGCTGGTTTGATCTTCTCCCCAGACCACTGAAAATTTCTCCATATCAGCATTAAGGCTGTTTTGCTTTCTTATCATTTCTGTGTTCCCTAGAGTAACACTTTGAATTTCCTTCAAGGACTTTCTCTTTGCTTTCACAACTTGGCTAACTGTTGCAGGAGATGTGACTTTCAGCCTGTCTTGGCTTTCAATATGCCTTTCTCACTAAGCTTAATCGTTTCTAGGTTTTGAATTACAGTGAGAGACATGCAACTCTTCCTTTCACTGGAACACTTAGAAGCCATTGTAGGGTTATTAATTGGCCTAATTTTAATATTAGCATACTTCAGGGAATAGGAAGGCATGAGGAGAAAGAAAGAGATGGGGAATGGCAGGTCAGTGGAACAGTTAGAACACACAGAACATTTATCAATTAAGTTTGTCAACTTTTATGATGTGGTTTGGGGTACATTTAAACAATTACAATAGTAATATCACAGATCACTGATCACAGATGAACATAACAGATATAAAAATAATGAAAAAGTTTTCAATATTGTGATATTACCAAAATGTGACACAGAGACATAAAGTAAGCACATGCTGTTGGAAAAGTGGCACTGATAGACATGTTCATCACAGGGTCGTCACAAACCTTCAATTTATTAAAAAAAACTGCAAAGTGCAATAAAGTGAAGTGCATTAAAGTAAGATATGCCTTTTCTTGGAGGCAGTTGAAACCATAATTAGAATTCACATGGATACCAAATAATCCATGAAATTATTTATGGGCAGATCCAACCTTCCACCTCAGTTTGTACCTCAGCCATCAGCATAAATTTAGACAACCAGAGTCTATTAAATAATCCAGACACACTTAGGAGGAGAAGTACAGCATGACTAAAATCTTGAAGGATTACAGATTACTTTCATATTGTATTGATATTGTTGATGTGTCATTATCAGTTAATATTTGGAAACTTAGGAAATATCCTTTCATCCTGGGGAGCAAACTGCCTAGAAACAACTCTCCAAAAGAACTTTTCACCAGAATTCCAATGGGAACCATCAGCACAGTTAACTCCAATCATTCCTCTCTTCTACAGTCCACATCGAGCACATTGCTTTGAAAAATTTGTGCACCTCTGAATCCTTCTCTCAATTCTGATTAGAACATCTTCTTTGTGCATTCTCTTTTTACCTCTGAACCTCCTTTATGTTCCTAACTTTACTTGCACCCTCCAGAGCTACAACTGACCATAATCCAACTCCCCTTCTATGGTATAGCTGATTATTCATTTATTTATTTTACTCCTGTGGGAGTGGCATGCTTCTTCACTCCATTGGTATTGGACTTGTCTGTCTGACTTGCTTTGGATAATGAGATCTTAGTGGTCATATATAAAGCAGCAGAAGCACAACGTATACTTTTTCCGCTGGGCTACTGTTCCCTTGCACCTCTGGCACTGCCCTGAGAAGAGCGTACTTGTAACATATATACCTTGTACCATAGGTCTATCATTCTCTGTCTAAGGGGGAGGATAATATACGTATGGTACAAGGATGTCCTATGTAAGTTGACTGAGCCAAGTCCAGCATAGATAAGCCAACCCCATCCACCAGAGACACATACATTAAATAAATCCTTACTAATGTATACTTTTAGATTTTTGAAATCCATTGTTATTCAGCAATAGCTAATTTATTCATCTACTCTTAACTCTTTCTTTACCATCTGGCCTTAGGTGACACACACTTCTTACCTCAATTATACCACTTCTGCTGAAGTATTCTGAAGTAAAAACTGATTTTCCTAATGTGGATGATGGGTTGATGGGTGCAGCAAACCACTATAGCACATGTATACCTATGTAACAAACCTGCACGTTCTGCACATGTACCCCAGAACTCAAAGTATAATAATTATTTTAAAAAGCCAAAAAAATGATTTTCCTTTGGGTTGTGTACTACAGGGAAAGAAGGCACATTTGGAGTTCTTGAAGTCCAATGTCAATTCTAGATAATTGAAGTTTTTCAACCCCTTGCAAAAGCTCCTCTTCCTTCAAGCCTTATTATTTGTATTGTGTCCCTTGTCATACACACAATTTGCTGCTGCTATGAAAAGGGCCAGCTCATTCTCTGTTACTCATTATAACACTTGGCATATGTGATAGTCTTTCTCTTTTTCTCAACATCCTGCCATTGTCCTGGGTGACTCTGACATCAAAAAAAAATTCAGCCACGTTTCTAGCTTTCAGTGTCTTAAGCTCATCATCTCCAGTGGCTAAAACAAAACAGATACCCAATAAACATGAGTTATTTTCATTTTCCTTTTTATTTCTTATAATAGCCTTTATTTCTACTTTACTTGAGCTACCCAATCCTTGATCCTTAACCCTATTTTCTATATTCTTAATATGATTCTCTGTTTCTATCTCTCACTCCTTTACTACTAATGGCACCTGCCCTTCAAATCTATCAAGAGCTCCTGTCTCTATATTTTCTCCTTTATCCACTACTGTCAGGCTCCTGTATCAGTTCTTTCCCTGCTCAGCCTGGAATACATGTTTTACCACTTCAACTGTCTCTTATTAAGGTCCCTTTTTCTCTTTTTCTTTTCTGTTATACCCATTCCACAATGCAAATGCTCATTTGTAAATCTGGATTAAAGCACACACACTCACTTTCTCCAGGAGAGTGTTGGCAGAAATCACACAGGCTTAAAGATTGATGACATTTCAAGTAAACAGTTTCTAACCTCTTCTGGGTTTTTAGACCCGTCAGTAATCCTGTTACTTGCCCCTGATCCATTTCTTTACTCCTTACTGTCACCAGAATTGCTGAATCTTTCTCACATTCTCAAGTCTCTTTTCCAATCCCAGTTGCCCTCACTTTCAAGGGAGACGACTTTACTGCCCACTTTATAGAAAATATATCACATCCATCAGGAGCATCCCCATTGTCCTTCCCATACCCCAATCACCAACATCTCCACTGGACTATAAGCTTCTTAGGGGCATAAATGGGGATTAATAATCTTTGTGTGGGTGAAATTCAATGCAGCTGAAAACGGTGGCCTCACACTTAGCCTCTTAATACATATTTGCTCAATTGCTCTGAACTCAAAAAATGATTCATCTTTCTTTATATGTTTTATTCTATCCAAGCATAGTTGTTCTATCTATTCTTTGAATCCCATTCTCTTACATCTCTTCCAAATTTGCTTCATCTCCTGTAATTGCAAAGAGCCACTCATGCTTAGTCTCCCCCTTCCCACAATGAAAATATTCGAGTTTTCTTCATTCTAAAAACCTAGCCCATTCTTGACCCTACATTTCTTTCTATTAACCATCGTGACCTTTCTTCTTGCCTCCTTTCATTAACAGCAAAGTTTTTCAAACAATATTGTATGCTTGAGGACTTCAGTTCTTGTTATTTTGCTCACTTCTCAACATAAAGGAAATCCAGTCTCATCCTTAATAATCCATGAAATCTCTGGCTAAACTCACCAAAGGCTACCTGATGGATACATACAAAGGTTGTATTTATTCTTCCTCTTATTCTGTCCTCAGTGTCTCTCCACTACTCTCTTGGTCTGGAAAATTCATTTTTTTCTGCATAAACATTAGTATTTGTTCCCATTTCCACCCCCACCACATCTGTCTAATCATTAATTCTGGTTTTCCTTGCTGGGTCTTCTTCTCTCACTCTCACCCTTGTCTCACCCTCTTATGGATCTCACCCTCTAAATCTGTAAATGGGCATCTCCAGGGCATCTAAATAAGGCTCTTTACTTTTCCATTCTAACTCTGTATATTCTTCCTTGGTGATCTTGTCTATGTCCATGGTTTTAAGCATCACTAACAATTCTTAAATAGTTACTTCCAATTCTGCATTCTCCCGGCATAGTTCAATCCACTTGGGCATTCAATGGGAACATTAAACTAAGTATATCACAGATAAATTTTTTATCTTTATCAGCAAAACTTATTATTTTAATTAAGATACTGCCTAAATTTCCATCACCTTTTAGGAGGGAGTCAATTGCTGGTCAGGTTAATTTTTCCCACAGAGCTAAGGGACAGGAGATGAGATCAGAGTGCCTCTACCAGAGTCACATGTAGGGCCACATAAAATAATCCAGAAATTTTAAATATCAAAAGGAAAATGATAGAAAAAAATAGACAAAGAAAAATTTGCCTACATACAAATAATCTGTAAATATGAAAAAGTTAATATCTCCAACAAGTCAATAACTGGAATCAGAAACAATGCTAATCATTCAATGTGGGTAAGGTGGCAGTGCAATGTACAGACTCAAACTTGGCTATTAGGAGTGTAATTTGGTAGAATATTTCATCCTCCTGGGGCTTATGTCTATTCAATAATTTGAACTCTTTCTTTTTCTTTCTCCTCCTTCACCACAGTCCTAATTTAGACTCATTATTTCTTCCGTGAACTACCGCAGTAACCACTATCCTCCTCTCCTTGTTTCCATTCCTCTTCTGTCTCAAGTCCATCCTTCACTCCTCCAGAACACTCTTTCTGATCATGTAGATCCCTTGCAGAAATCCCCCATCAGTGGTTCCCCATTATCTCCAAGCCAAAGACAGATTCCTTAGCATGAAATTTATGCTCTTTTTGATATAGTTCCTGTCTGACCTTTCAGCCTAATCTCCTACCAGACTATCTGGGTTCAAATCCTGGATCCTGCTCCTACCAGCCATGTGACCTTTGGCAAGTTGCATAATATCTGCCTTAGTTCAGTGTCATCTTCCTGTAAAATAGGATTATAATAGCAGCAATACACAGGCACGTAAAAATTGTATGTGTGAATGTACCCAACATGATCAATAGCAGTGTCTGGGACATGGTCAGCCCTATGGCAATATTTGCTATTATTTTCCATTATTATTATTGTTGTTACTGTCACTCTTCTACAATGACTCAGTGAGATAAAGCATGTGAAAGCATGTGAGATAGTCTTTCTTTTTTCTTTCTATTCCTGACTTTGTCTGTGCTATTCTCCTTGACAGCCTGGTAAACAGCACTCATTCTTCATACTTTTCCCTGTAAATGTGTGAGAAGGACAGTTCATTTTTTTCCCTGCCCCAAGGGACTCATTTTCAAATGAGGAGACAAATAAATAAGAAGTTAATATATACTTTATATTTTCGAAAAATAATTGATATGGAGAAAATAAGAGCTTCTTAGAAGAATTCACAACTGTGTAAGTGACTTCTTTGGTCCAAATAATACATTGTTAATTATTTTTTAACTAATTATTCTGTTTATTATACACTATGAGTTGCCAAGTTTACTTACTTCTGTATCTCCAGGGCTTGGCATTTTGCTGAATGTATGAAAAGTATGGGAGGTACTTAATAAGGACTTACTCACCAGGCGTGGTGGCTCACACCTGTAATCCCAGCATTTCGGGAGGCTGAGGCAGGTGGATCACGAGGTCAGGAGTTTGAGACCAACCTGGCCAATATGGTGAAACCCTGTCTCTACTAAAAATACAAAAATTAGCTGGGCCTGGTGGCCGATGCCTGTAGTACCAGCTACTTGGGAGGCTGAGGCAAAAGAATCACTTGAACCCAGGAGGCAGAGGTTGGAGTGAGCCAAGATCGCACCACTGCACTCCAGCCTGGATGACAGAGCGAGACTCCATCTCAAAAAAAAATAAAAATAAAAATAAGGACTTCCTAAATGTGCATGTGAATGCATGAAGGAAATGATGTCTGAGGGTATTTGTAATATTTATCTCTTTTTCATTTATACTTTATCTCAGAACACAAAACCTTGTAATTATGTTGTCATGATGTTTGTCTTTATTACAGAGATAGTCGAAATTTAAATTCACCTATTTGATATATACAAGTCAGTCTGAAACCCCTGATTTACAGATATATTTTACAAAACTATAACTGGGAATCAACTGCATATAAGCACTGAGAGAATTCCCCTTTCTCTTCACAGTTGGAATGCCTAGGGACCTCTCTGCCACCACTAATATGTCCTAGTCCTTCGTCACACATCAAGAATTTTTAAAACCTGAATCTGCATGCAACAGTTGCCATAGCCTTTTTAAGAGGTGGGAACAGGGATTTCTTCCAGCTCATGGAAATCCACCTAAGTTAGCTCCATACCTGGTGTCCTGAAGTGCTGCAAAGCATGAGTTGTAAAAAAAAAAAAAAAAAAAAAAAAAAAAATGCTACACATGGTCAAACTTGTTTTTGTGTCTAATTTGTCATATTTTATAGAGAATTGTCTTTTTCAAGGTATCCTGGGCACATCATCACTATTCACAGTGAGGTTTCTGTGGAGCAAACTATTGCAACTGCTAACCAGCCAATTTACAAAAGGGAATTTGGAATTCTGACTGTTCATAAATTGGGGTTTGTCTTCACTACTGGACCAGACTTACTTCAAAACATTCCTGCTCCATTCAGTCCTCTCTCCAATTATATAACGAATTTATCTTCAGAGACTTTCACATTGCTCAGATCAAAGCAGAATAAATTCTGTAGCAAATTTAAATTAGAATTAAATAGCTGAAGACTCTTTCTTTCTTTTTAATAGTATAACATTTAGGATTCCTATTGATGGTGGTGGACACCCATTGGGAGTGGCTGCTGCCAGGATGAGAAAAACACAGCTGGAACTGTACACTCCATGGAGCCTGTCAGGGCTGGCAACAGGTGGGAACCCTGCCTCCTACCAAGTTGGTGGGCCAGGAGACCCTCACTCCATGGGTGCAGCTGCAGCCACCCAGCCACAGCTCCAGAGCTGGGCATCCCCGCACTCCTGGGGGCCCAGGAAGCACCTCCTGGCCCTGCAGGCTCAGAAGTGCCTGTTCGAACTCCGTGGCCTCTCCCCACCCCCAGTGCCTGCTCCAGCACAGAGCAAAGTAGTAGCTGAGACCAGATACTGTCGCAACCCCACTGTGTGGAAACATGCTCAGGGAAGTACTGCATGCCACCTCAAGCCCCTCTGGACTTTGGGTGCTGATGAGCTTGGGAAGGAGACTGGGGAGTGGGGGCTGAAGGCAGCTCAGTGCAAGCCTGAAGGTGCCCCTTGGCACCAACAGCCTGGGTGCCATGAATGGCATGTTGACGGCAGGAGGCCAACAGTTTCCTCTGTGGAAAGGGACAGGTCCTGCCCATCTTCAAGTCAGAGACAGCCTGAAGCATGGGGTCGGGCTGCCAGCTCCAGGTGGAGTCCGTGGCCCCAAGTGAGAACTTATGGTGCTTTTTTCAGGCCCACCTATGGCCACCCATGGATCAGTCAGCATGTACTTCCTTTTGAGTCCATAAAAACCCCAGACTCAGCCAGACTCAGCTAGACATAGGGATGACCTGCCTGCAGATAGGAGCTACCCACTCTGGGTCTCCTCTCCTCTGAGGGCTGCAGGCTCAACCAGGATGACCTGCCTGCAGATAGGTGCTACCTGCTAAGGGTTCCCTCTCTGCTGAGAGCTACACACTCATTGGGATGACCTGCATGTGGAAAGGAGCTACCCACTTCAGGTCTCCTGAGAACTGTACTGTTGCTCAATAAAGCTTCTCTTCCCCTTGCTCAGCCTCCAGTTGTCCATATGCCTCATTCTTCCTGGACACAGGAAAAGAACTCAGGACCCACCAAATGCCAGGACAGAAAAAAGCTTTAACACAAACAGGGCTGAAACATGCACTCCACCCCTCTGCTCACCACACTGTGGGCAATGGGAAGGAGAGAAGAGCTGTGACCCTTCTAGGATCCCAAACCTAGGGGCTCCCTTAGCCAGGGCTGTGACACCTTCTTGGGGGCTCTGCAGTTTCTGGCATCTCTAAGCTTCCAGATGCCACCACGTTCCCCTCATCCAACCACAGGCTGCATGACGCTGGTGCTTGTGCCAGTGCCTGGAGCTGCCCACCCCACTGCAGCAGCCAGCGTGCCTGGCTGTGTGCAGTGGCCAGACCTGCCACTTGTTCGCTCACACACCCTTTGCTCCTTTGTGCCTGGCTCACTTTTGGCAGGCATGGGATCCCGGCTGGTAGCATGAGCTGAACACAGCTTGCCAGACCAAGTGAGCAGAATGAGCCCAGTGGGCCTGAGCAAAACTCAGGCAAAGGCACCACTGGCCACAGAAGCTTCCAGCTGGAAAATCGACACCCTAAGGATCTTGTGACAGTATTGTTACAAATTATAGCAATGCTTTTCAAATTAATTTAGCAATTCTCTTCTCAGAGATAATTTTTTTAAAAGGCCCAAGTAACCATGGAAAGGGATGCAGTCATTTCTGAGGGACTCAAGTGCTACCAGGGCTTTCTCTCTCCATCCCTCAACTCCATTCCTCCCTCTGTGCTTGCTTCTTTCTCTTAAAACAGCTTGCTTCAACTTGAATGGCATGGCACTGTCAGCAACTTCTGTGTCACCAAAACAGAACTAGGCATTCTTTCCTTTATTTTGTTCCTAAAAGAGGAATCTCATTTGCCTATCTCGGATGATATGCTCATCCCAAGATCAATAATAGTAATTGTTCCTAAACATGTCTAATTGCTTTTTCTCTCCCAACTCCCAAATTTTCCTATCTAATTGCTTATTATTATTTTCAAATAAATGAATGAAAACTGTCAAATTAAAATCAGTATGTTCAAACCCAAACTCACTTCTCTTCTTACATAATTTCTTGCTCTTCTGCTTTTATTATCTATTAATAATGTGATTAATTTAATAGTCTTCTAGGCATCTGGACTTGAAATTTACCCACTTGTCCTAAATTCAGTTAGGTATTAAGTAATTAGCTTTTGCTTCTACCAGAACTTTCTTTATTTGCTTTCTCAATTTCTTTCTCATTCTTGCCTCCGCAATTGAAGTATACTTTCCCCTCTTCCTAGACTAATGAAATAACTTTCTATTTAGGCATCATACTCCTATTCTTTATTCTAAACTAGATTTAACATTGCTATTAGAATTACCACTTTACAATAAAGCTTAACATCACATCTGTTTCTTATTCAGGGGCTCTCAGGGGCTCCTAATAGCTGCAGAATGTAATGCAACCTCATCATCTTGAATTTAACATCCAAATTTGAATATGTACCTACCAGTTTCGAGAAGCTGCTCCCCCATATATCCATACTCTTTGCTCTTGCACAGTTTCCTCAATTTCAAATGCTATTTCCTCTTTCCCAACCAGAGCCTCATGCTACTTGTGAAAATCCTATCTATCTTTTTAGGTTTATATCAAATGCCATATTATGTTTGAAATTTTTCCCGTTTCCATCTGATTATGAATTTTCCTTCCTGATGATTCTTATAATTATCCTTTACATTCTTTATTTGTACTTTACTTATCACATTTGATCTATAGTCATGTATATGCTTTACTTATTTTACTTCAACTGGTTAAGTGGGCCACTTGAAAACAAGAGTATGAGTCTT
Organism: Homo sapiens; assembly: GCF_000001405.40. Classification (NCBI taxonomy): domain Eukaryota; kingdom Metazoa; phylum Chordata; class Mammalia; order Primates; family Hominidae; genus Homo; species Homo sapiens. The sequence continues at coordinate 31,823,221 of NC_000009.12, forward strand.
ATTTATCTTCATGAATCGTTCTGTAAGATGACTGCATCTTTCATAAAGTTTTTGTGCTAGTGACATTTCTGAAATAAACTGAAGAGCTTCAGGAATTCATTAGAGATTTGCATGGCAAGAGACTGCATATGCTTGGTATACCTACTCTAAACTTTTATAAAGATGGATAAAATCACAAACAATAGCAGTGGCCCTGTATATTAAATACATGGAAAATCTGCCCAAATCTGAGCAGAATTTCTAACTACTACTTTATGAATGAGGAAATAATGAGGAACACCTTCTTAAACTCTGCACTCCGTGATGCTCTAAAGCAAGTCAGAATTTACTAAAGAAGGTGAAGAAACACTGACTCACCCCTACCCAGTTTCAGGATTCACAACTTTCATGCGTCATAAAAGGGGTTATAACCTCCAACACACAAAACCATCTTGTCTACCAAACTAATTCTGCAAATTGTCTTTTCTGGGATCTGTAAACTCTTGGTCCCTTTGATACTTTCTCTCTCTTCACTTTCACTCAGGGATGCCCAACCTAAAAATGGCAGAAAGTATGGGACAGCTCAGAGCATGTGCCATCATGAGATGCTTAACTACTTAGGAAAAACCATTGTGATATTATTTTTTTCTGTCAAATTAGCAAATATTTTAAAGCCAGCATTCGATATTAATGTAGGTTTAGCAAAGTGGGCATCTAATGTACTATAAGTGGAATGTAAACTGGTATGACATTCCTGGAAAGAAATTTGTAATGTGAATCAAGAGATTTTTTTAAATACACATACTCTTTCACCTAGTAACTTGCCTTCTGTGGAATAGTCAAATATACGAATGAAGATTTAAGGCTCCTCTCTATAAGACAGTATAATAAGGAGAAGATAAAGGACAGAATCTTGTAAACTGTGCAGTCTGAGAATACATGAGAAAGACAAGGATTTAGGGAGAGGGTCTGATAGAGGACTTCAGATAACAGGACGCATGGGAAGTCAATGGAAAAGAAAGTTTTAAGAAATCATGGTGGTCAAATGTTAAATACTACACGACGGCCAAATAAGCTGAAGACTCCGTTCAGGCTATTAAATTTAGTTATTAAATAAAATAAATTTATTTTGAAGTAAAATAATAACATACATTTTGTTGTAAAGAGATTGTAAGTTTGGAGGGCAGTTTCACTGAGGGCACAATTGGATAGCAAGAGGCTATAGAGTAAGTGAGTGTGTGGTAAAGAGTAACGGTTATGAGTTGTAAATCGCACTTCCAAATACTTGACAGTGAAGAATTCTGCCAGTAACCATTTAAGGAGAACGTACTCTGGGGATGGCAGTGAGGGGCAGTGAGGAAACAAAAATGAATGCGACTCAGCTCTTTCCCCCAAGTGGTTTGCAGTCTGCTAAATCTCTTGGAGGCTGGCTTTAGTGGGGGCAGTGAATTGCTCAGTAGCCTCCTTTGTATCAATGGTTAAGGTTCTCCATTTTCTTCCCAATATGGAATACACATAAATTTATCTTCCTGGATTACTTATTCTCTAGAAGTCTACTAATTCATTGCTGTTTCTACCTGCAGAATTTATAGCCAAGCTGTTTTACTAACTGCTCTTGCTTGTGCAAAGCAAAAAAAAGCAAACAAAAAACTAGTTTGATTTTCTGGACATCCTGAGTTGCTATGGCACCTTGAATTAACAAACAAAGACTATTCACCTTTTTTTCAGTTAAAAAAAATAGTCAATTCATCTCTCAGACCTGAGTGGTGAAACGTGAATTTAGTGACCCTGTCAACTCATAAGCGTGTGACTTCATGTGACAATCTGGCATGAGGCATGAGGCTTATTTGCTTTTCCAAGAGACAACAATGATTTCACAAGAGGCCAGTCACACTCTCTATCTAGTGTTTCTCTGATCATGGTTTGCACTTAAGAGGTGATAGGTGTGGATGGTCAAAGTTTTAAAACCAAAATATTGCTTCATTTCACACATAGGAGAAATGGGAATAGGCATTATCACTGCTGACAGAAGCAGTCTTTGGTGAAAGGGACTGTGGAGGGTATTTATCTGAGAGAAGTAAAAGTCATCCAAGGTTAAAGAAAGCTCCCTGATTTCCCAAGGCTTACACTCTAAGAAGGAAAGGCCTGCAAGGCTAATTGTAATCCGTTTACAACAATTATGGGAAAGAATGACACAACATAATTTGGAATCTTTGAACCATGTTGCTTGTGCTTCACTGTTGCTTTTCAGTGCTGTTGGGAGTGATTTCGTTTGCCTGAGCCATTCTGTCTGCCGTTTCTTTGAAACTAGCCCTTGTACTCATTCTATTCCTTTTATACTTTTTTTTTTATTACTGTGAGAGAATAGTAATAGGTTTTATATAAAGGCTGATGGGTCTACTTAATTGCTGATTGTACTATTCCCCTTATTTCACATCTACAGAGCTTGGCAAGCAAACAGATGTCATTATCAGAGCTATTTCTTTGTTATTCAAGGTCTATTGTTGCCATCATTCTAAAAGTAATATTCAAGAGCAGAGCCTTGGGTTCTTCTAATTACTGAAGTCAACACAGTTTTCAACTTTTTCAAATTACTTTTGGACTCATTCTTCCTATTACTTTCTCTCTTTTCCTTCCTTCTTCTATCCCTTTTACCACCTCTCACTCTCACACACGCTTATTAAGCCCTGGGCAGCATGCCAAATGCTGGAGAAACAGAGATAAGAAAGCTTTGTTATGGCCAGGCGCAGTGGCTCACGCCTGTAATCCCAGCACTTTGGGAGGCCGAGGTAGGCGGATCACAAGGTCAAGAGATCGAGACCATTCTGGCCAACATGGTGAAACCCCATTTCTACTAAAAATACAAAAATTAGCCAGACGTAGTGGTGTACACCTGTAGTCTCAGCTACTCGGGAGGCTGAGACAGGAGAATTGCTTGAACCTGGGAGGCAAAGGTTGCAGTGAGCCGAGATTGCACCACTGCACTCCAGGCTGGGCAAGAAGAGTGAAACTCTGTCTCAAAAAAAAAAAAAAAAAATCTTTGTTACTAAGCCTGAGGGGGATTGGAATCCCTGGGGAAGAAGTCATTACACTTGTGATTTCTTGTTCAAATTTGGGTGTTTTCAAGAGGCTAAGTACTGTGGGTATGTGGAATTGAGGTGGATAAACAGGTCTGTAAATAAATGGAAGCCTTCATTAGAGAAATGATATTTAAAATGATACCTGAATGATACATGGGTCATATTTATAAGTGATTATAGTAAGAACAGATGCTGTTCTCACGACTACATTTCGAAGTCTCTTGCTGCCTCTATTTCTCTCCTTAAAAAAAGCCTCTGGCTGGGCACGGTGGCTCAGGCCTATAATCCCGGCACTTTGAGAGGCCAAGACAGGCAGATTACCTGAGGTCAGGAGTTCGAGACCAGCCTGGCCAAAATGGGGAAACCCCATCTCTATTAAAAATACAAAAAGTAGCCAAGCATGGTGGTGGGCATCTGTAATCCCAGCTACTCTGGAGGCTGAGGCAGGAGAATCTTTAGAACCCGGAAGGCGGATATTGCAGTGAGCCAAGATCGCACCACTGCACTCCAGCCTGGACGACAGAGCAAGACTTCCATTAAAAAAAAAAAAAAAAAAAAAAGCCTCTGCATAGCAAAGGAGACAAGCAACAAATTGAAGAAACAACCCACAGAATGGGATAAAATACTTGCAAACTACCCATCTGATGAAGGATTAATAACCAGAACATATAAAGAGCTCAAACAACTCTGTAGGAAAAAAATCCAATAATCTGAACAAAAAATGAGCAAAAGATTTGAATAGATATTTCTAAAAAAAGACATACAAATGACAAACAGGCATATGAAAAAGTGTTCAACATCATTGATCATTAGAGAAATACAAATCAAAAATACAATGAGATGTTGTCTTACCCAGTTAAAATGGCTTATATAAAAAAGACAGGCAATAACAAATGCCAGTGAGGATGTGGAGAAAAGGGAATCCTCGTACACTGTTGGCAGGAATGTCAATTAGTACAACCACTATGAAGAACAGTTTACAGGTTCCTCAAAAAACTAAAAATAGAACTACCATATGATTCAGCAACCCCATTGCTGTGTTTATACCCCAAAGAAAGAAAATCAGTATATCTAAGAGATATCTGCACTCCCATGTTTGTTGCAGCACTGCTCACCATAGATAAGGATTGGAAGCAACATAAGTGTCCATCAACAGATGACTGAATAAAGAAAATGTGGTACATATACACAATGGAGTATTATTCAGGCATAACAAAGAATGAGATCCTGTCATTTGCAACAACATGGATGGAAATGGAGATCATTACATCAAGTAAAATAAGCCAGGTGCAGAAAGACAAACATCACATGTTTTCACTTATCTGTGGAATCTAAAATTCAAAACAATTGACCTCATGGAGCTAGAGAGTAGAGGGATGATTACCAGAGGGTGGGAAGGGTAGTGGAGGGTTGTGGGGGAGGCAGGGATGGTTAATGTGTACAAAACACAATAGTTAGAAAGAATGAATAAGACCTAATATTTTATAGCACAGCAGGGGGACTATATAGCCAATAGTAACTTAATTGTACATGATAAATTAACTAAAAGAGGGTAATTGGATTGTTTGTAATAGAAAGGATAAATGCTTTAGGGGATGGATACCTCATTCTCCATTATGTGATTACTGTGTATTACATTCCTATGTCAAAACATCTGAAATACCCCATAAATGTATATACCTACTATATACACACAAAAAATGAAAAAAAAAAAAAAAAGCTTTAACTTAACCATCTAATGTGCTTGTCAAAGTGCTTTGGGACCAAGGGAGGATTCAGGGGTTTGAAAAGAAACCATTAACAATGGTTAAAAAAAAAAAAAAAAAAGCAGTTACCACAATATCAGATGTACATTAGTTTAAACAGTCAGGAAACTACTTATAACATGAATTCACTGGCTCA